>NC_000010.11:78173398-78324913 GCF_000001405.40 Homo sapiens | reverse complement strand
CTGAAGTAGCTTTACTGCTGAATTCTACCAAACTTTTAAAAAACTAACACAAATTCTTCTGAAGCTATTCCAAAAAATTGAAGAGGAGTAAATTCTTTCTAACTTATTCTATCAGGCCAGCATTACCCTGCTATCAAAATCAGACAAGAACACAACAAAAAAAGAAAACTACAGACCAATATCCCTGATAAAAATAGATGCAAAAATTCTGAACAAAATGCTAACAAACTGAATCCTACAACACATTAAAAAGATAACACACTATGATCAAGTGAGATTTAGCCCAGGGATGCAAATCCACATATGCAAATCAATAAATGTGATACATTACATTAACAAAATGAAGGCAAAAACCATATTATATGTCAGTAAGTGCAAAAAAATTTGATAAAATTTAGCATCCCTTCATGATAACTCAACAAACTAAGCACAGAAGGAACATACCTCAACATAAAAAAGGCCACACATGACAAACCCTAACCTAACATACTAAATGGGGAAAAGCTGAAAGCTTTTCCTCTAAGAACTGGAACAAGACAAAGATGCCCACTTTTACCACTCTTATTCAATACAGTACTGGAAGCCCTAACCAAAGCAATCAGGCCAGAAAAAGAAGTGAAAGGCATTCAAGTTAGAAAAGAGAAAGTCATATTTTCTCTCTTTGCGGATAATATGATCTTATATCTAAAAAATACTAAATACTCCACCAAAAAAAACTCTTAGACTAGATAAACAAATTTAGTAAAGTTGTGGGATACAAAATCAACATTCAAAAGTCAAAAAAAATTAGTTTTTTTCTACACACTAGTAAACTAGCTGAAAAAAAGAAATCAGGAAAACAATCCCACTTACAATAACTACAAAAAAGGATAAAATCCCTAGGAATAAATTTAACTCAGGAGGTGAAAGCCTCTACAATGAAAGCTACAAAATACTGATAAAAGAAATTGAAGAGAAAACAAACAAATGGAAAGATATCCCATGCTCATGGATCAGAAGAATTAATATTGTTAAAATGGCCACACAACTCAAAGCAATCTTCAGACTCAATGCAATTCCTATCAAAATGTCAATGACATTCTTTACAGAAGTTTTCATAAAACACCAAAATTCCTATGGAACCACAAAAGACCCCAAATAGCCAAAGCAACACCGAGCAAAAAGAACAAAGCTGGAGGCATTATACTTCCTGACATCAAAATATATTATTAGGCTATGGTAATCAAACCAGAATGATATTGGTATAAAAATAGATATATAGAGCAATGGAACAGAATGGAGAATTCAGAAATAAATCCATGTATTTACAGCCAACTGATTTTCAACAAAGGCACTAAGAACATACCCTGGGGAAAGGGCACTCTCTTCAATGAATGGTGTTGGGAAAACTGGATATCCATGTGCAGAAGAATGAAATTAGACCCATATCTCTCACCATATACAAAAATCAACTCAAGATGAATTGAAGACCTAAATATAAGACTCAAAACCACAAGATACTAGAAGAAAACAAAGAGGAAACACTTCAGAACATTGGTCTAACAAAGACCTTATGTCTAAGACTTCAAAGGCACAGGCAACAAAAACGAAAGTAGACAAATAGGACTACACTAAGCTAAAAAGCTTCTGGACACCAAAGGAAACAATCAAGAGATTGAACAGATAACTTATAGAATGGGAGAAAATATTTACAACTATTCATCCAACAAGGGACTAATATCCAGAATATAAAAGGATCTCAAACAACTCAACATCAAAACAAATAATCCCATTAAAAAGTGGGCAAAGGACATGAATAAACATTTCTCAAAGGAAAACATACAAGTGGCCAATAGGTATATGAAAAAATGTTCAACATCACTAATCATCAGGGAAATGCAAATCAAAACCACAATAAAATATCATCTCATCCTAATTAGAATGGCTATAATAAAAAAAATACTACCAAGGATGCAAAGAAAAGGGAACTCTTACACACTGTTGGTGGGAATATAAACTAATACACTCATACAGCCATTATGGAAAACAGTAAGTTTCCTCAGAAAACTAAAATTATAACTACCATACAATTTCACAATCCCAGTACTGAGCATTTGTCCAAAGGAAAGGAAATCAGTACATCAAAGGGATACTTGCACCCCCATGTTTAGTGGAGCATTATTCACAAGAGCCAAGATATGGAATAAACATAAGTGTCCATCAACGGACAAATGGATAAAGAAAATGTGGCATATATACACAATGGAATACTATTTGGCCATAAAAATGAATGAAATCATATTATTTTCAGCATTATGGATGGAACTGGAGGTGATTATGTTAGTGAAACAAGCCAGGCACAGAAAGAAAAATATCACATGTTCTTATTCATATGTGAGAGCTAAAAAAGTTGATCTCATGGAAGTGGAGCTTAGAATGATAGCTACCAGAGGCTGGGAAGGGTAAAGAGGGAATAAAGAGATGTTGGAAAATGGATACAAACATACAGTTAGAGGAAGTAAGTTCTACTGTTCAATGACTCAGTAAGGTGACTAGAATTAGCAATTATTTAACGTATATCTCAAAATAGCTATAAGAGAAGATTTAAAATGTTCCCAACAAAATAAAGATAAATATTTGAGGCAATAGATATCCTAAATACCCTGATTTGATCATTATACATTGTATCCATGTATCAAAATATCACATGTACCCCATAAATGGGGCTAGCCCATTTATGTTTAGCATACCAATAATGGAACATTAAGCATGCGGGAGTTATTTATGTCCTAATGCTCAAGGTCATCACGAAGGTCTGTTTGCAAAAATTAAAAAAATTGCAACCTCAGGCATAAATGAGTTCATATGTATGATTATTATACATCAACTTAAAAAGACATTTACGTTCATATGTCTTTCAATACTTTAATAAAACAATCAGGGTCATCCTTTTCATGAAAAACTAGTCTTTCAATATTGTGGCCACAGAGATCCAATTCTGGGTTTTCTAGGAATGGGTTTGAACTGGGCCAGATCCCCAAGGGCTGGGTCTGCTTGGAAGGCTTGTGAACACTATGCCTCAGCCATGTCTCAAGGAAGTGCTCAGAAAACAAGCAGTGTCAGGGATGGACACAAGATGAGCCTGCAAGGGGGTAGACACAGTCCCCTAGCGACGACCTTGTTCTCAGGAGGTATGAGCAAAGTCCAGTGGGCCAGGCAGCTTGCATGAAGTAAGGAGATCACCAGGTCAAAGGGGCTTAGACGCCAGCTGCCTTTATACCCCTAGATTGGTAGAGGGCCACATCTGTACTCAAGGGTCCACCAACACCCGCCATGAGAGGACATGTGTGGCTACACCTCAGCCAAGTACTCCTGCTCTACACTTTCTGCTGCATCAGCCATGGCCAGCCAAATATATGACCAGGGTAGTTAGAACTTCAGGTTGATTCTGCTGCTAGCAATTTGTAGGAAAAGGAGAAATTGAATATCCCTGAGGTCTCTTTTCTGAGACACTGTGAAACAGAGAGAGTTGTTCTCCATCCCCCAGGTTAATTCTCAGGACATAACACTACACTCCCCCACTCCTAACTCCCCACTCCCCACCCAGCCACCATCCCCATTCTTTTGTCCTAGCTCATCTCTGAAAGCACCCCAGCACAGTGGAGTCACGTGCACACCATATGAGCCATGGTGGGAGTTCTCATCAGGGCCCAAGCCCACACATGAAGCCTTATCTATCACCACTACACGTGAGTCTGCAAATAAATTTCAAATGTCAGCAAGCAACTAGGAGATGAATGGGTGAATGTAGTCACATGTTCCTTAGGTTTTCTACTGTAAGACAGCACTATATCAGATGTAGGGAGAGAACCATTTATTTATCAGACTTTGACTGAGCATCTGATGTGTACAAGACACTAGGAGAACTCATCCTTTTCCTGCCCCAGAAAGCAAACCAGAAGGACATCAAAGTCCCTGCCTAGCTGCCCATCCAACTTGGTGTTTCTTGAAGCTAAGCATCACTTCTGAGAACAATGAGACATCTACAAAGCTGTGATTTTCCCCCCACTGCATTAAAGATTGTCACTTATTAAAATAAGCACTGTGCTTTACAAAGCAAGCTACAGGACTCAGGCATGCATAATGCAATGCATCCTGCAGCTTTATACGCTCAGCATCCTTGCATCTCTTTCTGATGACCAGCCACTGTGTTACCATTCTTTCCTGTGCCTCTCGGTAACAAAGGAATGCCCGTCCAGGGCACATGATTGCTGTTTGCTGTGATACTGCAGTGAACGGCCCCAGAGTGCCGGAAACTCCCTCTATCTTCTCTCACTGTCAGCCTCAGCACTCCTTCCTTCCTGTCCTTACAGGTTCACAACACCCATCAACAAAAATACATAATCCCTGCCATATTCTTGTTACCCAAGTTCAGGACCCATTCATTCATTCATTCACCAAAGGCTCTCTGAGCACCTGCTCTGTGCCAGGCTCTCAGAGATCCCTAAGAGATCAGAAATGAATAAAGCCTGTCCCCACCTCCCTTCCAGCCACATTTGCAAACCGGGGCAAACCTACTTCACCTGTCAGAGCCTCAGTCTCTTTCCGTACCCAGGTGGGAGGTCAAAGCTGGAATAGTCCTTAGAGATGATCTAGAGTAAAAGTCCCCCAACTATGACCAGAAGGTCAAATCCAGCCTGTCATCAAGGAAAGTACATAAGATCTACATAGTCAAAGAAAAGAGCCCTCCACCTGACTCCCAGGTGGCCACCTCCACACAACCTTCAGGCTTCCTCTTTGGGCCTGGAGACACCCCCTCTTCCATGTGCTCAGCCAAGGAACAAGGATACAGGAGGAGGGACTGTGTCTCGCTCCATGTGTTCCTGGAAGCCAGGGATGTCTGCCTCCCTGTTGTGGGCCCTTGGCCTCTCCTTTGTGCCTGAATTCTTAAATGCCTGCCCCAGATCTGACTGCTCCAAGGGTAGAGTGAGCCTTTGGGGTGTAACTGCCTTCTTCTATCACCTGGGCTCACACTCGGCCCTAGGCCCATGTGCCACACCCCTTCTCTCTGGGATAAAATTACAGCCAGAGACAAAGGTTAGAGGTTAGGAAGGGATTCTCAGCCCACTACAACAGGAATACTCCGTGGAGGTTATTTTATAATCTCACCAACTAGAGAAACAGTCCCTTACACCCCCAAACACAGAGGCCTGGAGTCTGAAGGGGGTTGCTGTGTGATGACTGCAGGAAGTACACAGGCTTTGCACTGCTTCCCGTGGTGTGGACTTGAGCCTGTACATTACCTCTCACAGCCTGAGGGAAACCAGGACACAAATAAGGGGCATTTCACAATGATGTGCTGGGGATTAATGAGATTACAGAAGCAGAGGCCTAGCACAGTGGCCAGCACAGGGCAGATGTTGAGTCAGCCCGAACCTGCTCCCCGAGACACGTGCACACACCACCGCTGGATGTGGAAACTGCAGGCGCCGCAAAGGCAAATAAGTAAGCTGTCCAAGGTCACACAGCTAGTAAATGGCAGGGCTGGGGTTTGAACCTGTCTCCTACGATGGCCTGTGCTTGTTACCTCTTACAGGTAGACAGAAATTAAATCAGTAAACAAATGAATGGACAAGGTAGGGACAGGTGCTGCGAAGAAAACAAGTCAGGTGGATGTGATTGCCTCACGGGGACTGCATTAGATTTGCTTGTCAGAGCTGGCGTTTGAGCAGAGAAAGAGCCAGCTTTGAGAACATCTGGGGAAATACCTGTAGACAGAGGAGGCAGCAAGTGCAAAGGCCCTGAGATAATGCAGTGAATATTCATCACTCTCAGTTGAGGCTCCCCTTGAAAACCAGGGCCTTCCATAGGAGGTAAAATGCCAGATATTTGTTTTGTCAGTGATATGGTTTGGCTGTGTCCCCACCCAAATCTCATCTTGAATTGTAGCTCCCATAATCCCCTTGTATCATGGGAGGGACCCGTGGGGAGGTAATTGAATCATGGGGGCAGGTCTTTCCCATGCTGTTCTCGTGATAGTTAATAAGTCTCATGGGATCTGATGGTTTTATAAATGGGAGCTCCCCTGCACAAGCTCTCTTGCCAGCTGCCATCTAAGATGTATCTTTGCTCTTTCTTTGCCTTCCATGATTGTGAGGCCTCCCCAGCCACGTGAGACTATGAGTCCAGTGTTCTTCTAAAAAGAAAAGGAACCTCTTTTTCTTTTATAATTACCCAGTCTTGGGTATGTCTTTATTAGCAGTCTGAGAACAGACTAATACAGTCAGCCTGCCTTGCAGCTAGCACATGGCTCATTTAGGCTCCTCAATCAGACATGCTGATCCTAGACCTTGAGTCAGAAGTGAGTGACACAAAGGAGCTGGGGCTGTACAGGCTGCAGGCTGACAAGGGTGTCCTTAATGCAGTAACCATATCCAGTCTCTGGGGCAGCTATGGCTATGGCTATGTGGCAGACTTCATGTTCAGTGCCAGCACTGTTGGCAGGGATGGCCATGGTGTCTGCGCCCAGGAGCAACATCTCAGAGCTGCTCTACAGCATGATTGGGGATGCTATTTCTAGCTACATCACCTTTAATCTTAGTTTTCTGGCTTTTTAGGAGATTCAGTAAACTCCATAATATTGTTTTAGTAAATTTATTTTCTGCTTGAAACACCTGAAGTCACTCTCCATTGCTTGCAATTTGGAACCCTGACAGATACATGCCCAGACCATGAGTGCCCACCCAATATCCATGTGCTCCCCTCCAATGCCCAGCCTCCCCTACATTTGTGCTTGGGCTGTGTGACTAGTTCTAGCCAACAGACTGTGAGCATAAGCGACAAGTGTCAATGCTGGGCCAAATAAATTTCCCACCAGGGCCACATTGGATGCCACGCTTTGGGGCAGCAGCATCATAAAATGGAGGGAACCTGGATTCCTGAGTCACTAGGCAGAGAACAGACCTGCCAGCCCATATGAATAGTCCATAAAGAAGAATCAAACACATAAGGAGCTGATCCACTGAGATTCCAGGGTTTGTTATGTTACTGCAGCACAGCCCAGTCTATCCCAACTAGAGGCCAAGTTTAAGGGTGAGAAAAAGGTAGGTGGCATTGAGCACAGTGAACAATGGGGAGAATAGTCTGAAATAATACAGAAGTGACTACTGACTTGGGAAAATTTTTCTTGATTTTATTTTTTTTTTATTTTTTTTGAGACAGAGTATTGCACTGTCGCCCAGGCTGGAGTGTAGTGGTGCAATCTCCGCTCACTGCAACCTGCACCTCCAGGGTTCAAGTAATTCTCCTGCCTCAGCCTCCTGAGTAGCTGGAATTACAGGTGGCCGCCACCACGCCCGGCTAATTTTTTGTATTTTTAGTAGAGACAGGGTTTCACTATGTTGGCCAGGCTGGTCTTGAACTCCTGACCTTGTGATCTGCCTGCCTCGGCCTCCCAAAGTGCTGGGATTACAGGCATGAGCCACCACGCCCAGCCTTCGTGATTTTATTCTAAGTGTGATGAAAAGCCACTGGTAGGTTTTAAGCAGAAGCAGGCATAGCCAAACACCAAGGCAGATTGCCTTCCACACAGCTTGTAGACACAGGGAGCTTAAAGGGGCCTCAAAAGGCATTTCATCAACCCTCAGCTACTGTCTCACACTCTCCCACATTGATGCTTATAAGGAGTTTCCTGCCTCTTCTTGCACATTTCCACTAATAGGAAGTGCATGTCTTTCTAGGACCTCTCATTTTATTTTGGGATTGTGCTGAACTTTTTTTTTTATTATTTCCCTGTGACCTCTCTCTACTGGTAAACCCCAACAAATGTGAACACATCCCCTATTCCTCAGCAGCCAGCTCAGCTCTTCACAGAGCTTGCTGCCCTGGTTCTGCTCTGCTGAACACACAGCCACTGGCCATTGGCCTCCAAAAAATCTATCTCTAGCAGAACTGGATTCTGAAAGCAGAGTAGAGTATGGGATTATGGATCCAGGATCTCTGCACTGAGAGCATAACCAGGCCACTGTGCAACATTCCAGTGATGGATTCACAGGATCTCTTAAGTTTTCATCACCCTCCTTATATATCCCCTGGAGAAAACACAGGGGACATTTGAATCTCTGGGCCTGGTTCCCTCTGCCTGCCCTGGCCCACATCCCTAGCCTAACCTTCAGCTCCATGAGCTGATGCAGCAGGAATTTATTTACGAGCTCATTATCCCTGTGAATCATGTCCAGCTTGAGTTGGGACTAATAAGGAGCTGAGGAGTGGTCTTTCAAGCAGCTGAGCACATGAGGCCTGGGGAGAGGATGGGCCAGGACAAGCAGGGCCTCACTGCACCAGCAGCCAAGAGGGCAGATGGGAGCAGTGGATGGGAGGTGGCTCCTGCCAGCCCTGGAGTTTGTCCTGGCTCCAGCAGTTCTAGGGCTTTTCCAAACTCTGGCTTAATTCCAACACAGAGGCTGCAAATGGAAGATTTGGCTGGCCATTCATTCTTTACTTCTAAGCCCCAAAATACACCAAGGAATCCAAGAGGGGAGAAAAGCAAGTGACCAACATCTTTCTGACTTCTATCCCACCAGAGCAGCCCCTGCCCTCTGGCCCCTGATCCAGCAGTCCCCAGGTGGGAAGGTTTCACAGCGTGGTGTTATTCAAATGTAGGATATGATCATTAATCTATTCAAACTTACTTTACAACCATTGTTTTACTTGATGGCTGCACATAAGTTTAACCATGTCCATTTGAGAGAGAAGGGTTCAAGACTCTGAAGAAACTGGCCCAAGGTTGACTTGCAAGAAGTGGCACAGTCCAGGACTTAAACCCAAATCCTTAACCCTCAGCCCACTACTTAATCCAAGTCTCAATACCTGCCTCTTTAGTGAGCCTTTGTGCATTAGTGAGCCCAACCAAGACCAGAAATACAGAGTGATGTTACATCTTCAAGGTTTGCTCAGGGAAATAAAAACTCTCTGGGTCTTTGAAGCAGGAAGGTTATTTAATACAAGAAATAGATGCTGTGGTAGACTGTAAAATTGGCCCTGATGATTCTCTTCCCTGTATCCATGTGATATAAATTTGAATTCGGCCTGTTCTTGTAAAATGCATTAGTGAGTCCAACCAAGACCAGAAGAACCACTCAGCTGTGCCTAGCACAAATTCTGATCCACAGCATTGTGAACTAAATATATAATTGTTGCTTTAAGCAACTAGGTTTTGGGTGATTTGGTATACAGCAAATGTTATACAGCACTTAACAGAAATTTTGGAATAGCTGGAAAAAGGAAGGTCATTGGATATTTATATAATAAAGGTTCTCTATAAATTTTCAGAAAGTAAAAAAGTTGCAGGATCTGCAGCAGCTCCTGCAAGGATCACAGATGCCCCCAACACTGTTGCTTCAGGAAAATTTTGAGGTTGTTTTAAAATCTGCCATCTGCCAAAGCCCACCACTCTACTCACCACAGCTGAAGGTGAGTAACTCCAGGGCTGGCAGGAGCCACCTCCCATATGGCTTCGTCTTCTTTTCTGACTTCTGAATCTCATGCATCTGCTTCTCATGGAAAGATTCTAACCTGGAACCTATGTTTCATAGATTCCTGGAAATGTAGTTCTCAGGCTTCTAGCCCTTTGTGCAGAGAGGAGAGTGTGGAAGCATTGAGTTGTCACCCAATAATCCAGGCCCAAGAGCCTATTCTGTTCCAGGCATCACTTCTAAAGATGCTTAGCATCAAGAGGGACTTTCTATTCCCCTGTAACTCCCTCTACTACTCCCGATTGGTACTAGTTCTCCCTTTGGAAAGACATGGGCATTATTAGCTCAATTGATTATCATTTAAACTGGTTTGTCAGCTCCAACCCTCGTGAACCCCTATGAAGGTAAGACAATTTCACCTGTGTGCCTGTTATTCTACAGGTTGAACAGTAGAAGGAAGGAACAGAGTGCCTGGATGTGTTCACTAAACCCTATGCATTAAAATCTCCTTGCTTCCTCTCTCATCAGGCTAGTCTAGCACTCACCGCAACCAAGTAGTGGCTGCGGGTGCAGGTACCCAAAGGTGCAGAAGGGTTTGGATAAGTCCCCAGAAATGAGGACAACCTGCATCACTTCCTCAGCTGTCACTCTGCTGACTCCATCCTTCTTGTGTCTGTAGTAACAACTTTTGGGAGGAAGCAGCTGACAAAATCCAGTTCTCCCTGTTGTAGAGATGGAAACTGGTACAGGGTGTGGCAAAGTGTAGCAATGACAAGGTAACAGTGAAGAGCAGGGCCCCTTGGATATCCTCTCTTGGCCCTGAAGCCATTATGTCATACTAGGGCCTAATCATAATAGCCTGGGTTCAAGACAGACAGACAGGATTTGAGGAGAGGGGAGGTTTCTCTTGAGGAGAGAAACCAGTTCCTCTGAGAATTTGAATCTGTAAGAAATATGGACTGCTAGGTGTCTGCAGAACCTCTTTAGCAGAATTTGCTTCCCTGCTCCCCTGAAGGGTCAAGCTACCCAGGGTTGCCTTGATCTTGACCCTCTCCGAACAATCCCATCCACTCTTATGAACTCAATTACCATTGAAATACCCTCGGCTCCCAGATCTATCTCTTCAGGCCCACATATTCAACTGCCTGTTGAATATTGAGACTTGTATTGCCCACAGGGTCCTCCAAGTCAACATGATTCAAGCTCAGGACTTTCATCTAAATCAGTACCAATCATCAATTCAATTAGCAGCAGCATCAAGTCACCCAAGCCAAGTCTTTCCCCATCTCCCAGTTTGATTTCTGTAACCAGCTCTCCCTAATCTCTTGGCTTCCAGGCTTGGTTTCTCCAACCAGTGAGTCCTATCACTTCCAGAGGGAGCTTCCTAAATGCACACTTGTCATGACACTCACTTGACAGAAATATTCTGCTAGCTCCCTAGCCCCCATAGAATAACACCCCAACTCTTTGGTCTGGTGTTCAAGGCCTTCCCTGTGACAGTCTCTACCAACATCTTCAACACCATCACTTCTCACCTCATTCCCTGGCCACACCAGACTGCCTGGGATGCCCAAAGCTGGCTGGCACCTTCATGCCGTTAGCCTGCAACACCCTTCCCATGCCGCTATCGCCCCTGCCCCTCAGTCTGGGCTAGGTGCTCCTCCTGTGGGCTGTCATAGTACTCTGTTCTTACCATCCCTCTTTGTAATAATCTCTAATATGCTTGTTCTACCCCACAGAATTGGGAGCCCCATGAAGGCTGGGACATACCACCAGACTCATCTCTGTGTCCCCAGTCCATTAGGAGTAGACACCAACAAGTGATTGTTAAACAGGAGCTACCCCCAGTGCTGTGAATTTCATAGCAAAGAGTGTGTGTATTCAATCCGTAATAATAGCTCAATACTTTCGTACTTACTGTGAACCAAACAGTTTGATTAGCTCATTTAATCCTTACTACAACCTCAAGAGATATTATTATTATTCCTCTGATTTATAGATAGTAAATTGAGACCTAGAGATACTAAATAAGTTGCCTAGATCATTCAGCTAGCATGTGGTGAAATCAGGATTCAAAAGCAGGTGGTCCATGCCCCTAACCATTAGACATATAGCCTGTCTAGTATATATTCTTCACAGTAAAGTCAGCTCCCCATCACAACAGGGTGAGAGCCAGGGTGGGAAACTCTTCCTCTTTAATCACCTTCTCAACAAGTATACCTTATTCCACAAATATTTTAGGGAAGTGCTTGTCTACTTAAATGAGCTTTCTTGCTGCAAGACTTATCAGAGCCTTTAATATGCCAGCGTGCATATTAAGAGAAAAAAGATAAGTAGCATTTCCCGAACTCATTGGATCACAGAGCGTTTTATTTTCTCAGGCATCTGCTAGGAGTAGCAAACCATGGAACACACTTTGGCAAATGTTGACTCCTGGGTCCCATGCCTCAGGAGGCCCAGCAGCCCTTGTCTTGTGTGAGATAAACCAGATTCTTTCCAGTGAATTTCCTTCCCTGCTGAAGTTAACTCAAGTCAGTTTCCATTACTTACAACAATAGAACCTTGACTGAGTCATGCCCTCACTTCTCAGAAAGGCCAAACCTCTGGAGCGCGCTGGGATTACACTCAGGATAGAAGGCGAGGGAAGTGTCTAGGGAGGCACCAGCCTGTCAGATATGGTCATGGCAGGCTTCATCTGAGACCCACCACAGAGGGGTCATCCCCAGAAAAGCATGCTAAAGTGCTCATAGCTCTTTTTTGTTTTTAATTTTCCTTCCTGGTAAGAAATTTGCCATTTTTACATAAGAACTGTGACTTGTGTTTTCAGATTCCTGTAGCTGAGGTCATGTCCTTTGGACAATTCTATCCTGTTTCTGGCCATTGCCAATAGTTCCCCTCCCTCCGGGAAGTTAAGGGAGGGGGTCACTTGTTCCTCTCCCCCACCCGCCAACTCACCTCAACTCTGACGCATACACACGCAAATGCCCTACTTCTGCTTAATTTCCCTCCAAGCATGTTCTTTAGATGGATGAGAGATTTGAGGGCAGGGATTCTGCCCTCCCACAACCAGTGAACATTCTGTGTGGGTCTGATGGAAAGCCAGAAGCTCTGGCCATCAGAGCATCCCCTCTCCAGGTAATCAGATAGCTGAAGTTTGTTCTGGAGGCCGGCACAGCCTACTTCGAATGCAAGTTGAGCTGGGTTGGATGCTGCCAAGGTGACTTCTCAGAAGTTCATCTAGGAAAATAGAATTGTGCTAGATTTCTCCAACCCTCCTCTTTCAATCTGTCCTGACTGCCTGAGCCATGCTGCTTGGCCACTTAACAGAATACCACAGAATGGGTGATTTATTTGAAAGAAAGAAAGAAAGAAAGAAAGAAAGAAAGAAAGAAAGAAAGAAAGAAAGAAAGAAAGAAAGAAAGAAGAGGGAAAGAAAGAAAGAAAAGAAAGAAAGAAAGAAAGAAAGAAAGAAAGAAAGAAAGAAAGGAAGGAAGGAAGGAAGGAAGGAAAGAGAAAGAAAGAAAGAGAGAAAGAGCGAGAGAGAAAGAAGAAAGGAAGGAAGAAACAAAGAGAAATAAAGAAAGGAAAGAAAGAAAGAGAAAGAAAGAGAGAGAGAAAGAAGAGAGAAAGAAAGGAAGAAAGAAAGAAAAAAAAGAAAGAAAGAAAAGAGAGAGAGGAAGGAAGGGAGGGACAGAGGGAGGGAGGGAGGAAGGGAGGAAGAAAGGAAGGAAGGAAGGGAGAAATCCAACAGGATTAGGATCCAGAGCATTGAGATGAGAATAGCTTTGGGCAGGAGGGGGCACCCCTTTCATTGGAAAAGCTCTAGCTGGCCACCTCTTGACTTTGATGGTGAATCATTGATGCTCTAATGAGTTTGAGTTGACACAGATTTGTGGTACTAACAGTGGAATTCCAGGAATCATCAGTTAGGACACTTCATGGCGCTTCCAGAAACATACTTCTTAGGCAATCAAGCACTTCTAGACACATGTTTTTGTTTTTGTTTTTGTTTTTGTTTTTGTTTTTGTTTTTGTTTTGAGACAGAGTCTTGCTCTGTCGCCCAGGCTGGAGTGCAGTGGCATGATCTCGGCTCACTGCAAGCTCCGCCTCCCAGGTTCATGCCATTCTCCTGCCTCAGCCTCCTGAGTAGCTGGGACTACAGGCACCCGCCACCAAGCCCGGCTAATTTTTTGTATTTTTTAGTAGAGGCGGGGTTTCACCATGTTAGCCAGGATGGTTTGGATCTCCTGACCTCCTGATCTGCCCGCCTCGGCCTCCCAAAGTGCTGGGATTACAGGCGTGAGCCACCATGCCCGGCCAAAAAGCTCACTTTCTTGATGATCCCTATGGTAGCCAGGATTCAAAGATGCCCCCTGCTGCCAATGAACCATGCCTCCTGGTATTCAGATCCTTATATAGCCCCCACCACACTGACTTTGGCCTGGCCATATGTAACTAAGAGAATGCAATAGAAGTAACTCTGCATGACTTCCAAGACTAGGTCATAAGAACCTTGGACTTTGCACTTGGGGTCCTGGGACCCAGGGACCCTCAGTATGCTGTCAAGAAGCTTGAGCCAGCCATGTAGAGAACTCACATGGAAAATGAGTGATGCTGGCCAGACCCCAGCTGTTCCAGCCATCCCAGCCCAGGTGCCAGACATGAAGAAGCCATCTTACATGCAGAGAAAAGTGGAGGCTCTCACACAGTGCCAGCCACCCTCTGTGTCAAAGGCATCCCAACGGAGGCCTGTACATTGTAGAGCAGAGACAAAGTGTCCCTGCTGTGCCCTGTCAGAATTCCAGACACAAAGAATTGCAAGCATAATAAAACAGTGGCAGTTTTATGCTTCTAAGTTTTGAGGTGATTCGTTACACAGCAACAGATAACCAGACAGTCCCCTCTGACTCCTGTAACTTGCAGGGATTCTTCTTTACTAGCTTGCTATCACTAGCCAAACATGCACACTTTGCCTCCTTTTTTTTTTTTTTTTTTTTGAGACAGAGTCTTGCTCTGTCTCCCAGGCTGGAGTGCAGTGGCCTGATCTCAGCTCACTACAACCTCCGCCTCCTGGGTTCAAGCGATTCTCCTGCCTCAGCCTCCTGAGTAGCTGGGACTACAGGCATCCACCACCACTCCCAGCTAATTTTTGTATTTTTTTTAGTAGAGATGGGGTTTCACCATATTGGCCAGCCTGGTCTTGAACTCCTGACCTTGTGATCTACCCGCCTCGGCCTGCTGGGATTACAGGCGTGAGCCACCGCCCCCGGCCTGCCTCTTTTAAATAATAATAATTATAATGAGGAGGAGGCGAGGAAGGGAAAGAAGATGGGGACAAAGAAGGAGGAGAGGGGAAAGGAGGAAAAGGAGGAGGAAAAAGAAAAGAAGGGAAAAATCAGAAGGAAAGGAGCAAGAGAAGAGGAGAAGGAGAAAGAGAAGGAGGAAAAGGAGAAGAAAGAGGAGGCAGAGGAGGAGAAGAAGGAAGAGAGGGAGTAGAAGTAGGAAAAAGAGGAGGAGGAGGAGAAGAAAGAGACACCCACAAGCTGCCCTGTCTCCCATCAGCTTCCACCTTCTCATCTTCCTTTCATGACCAAGCTTTCTGAAAGTGTTTACCATATCCAATTCTGCACATTTCGTTCTCTCCTAAACATCGCATTCGGGCTTACACAGTCACATACTCAATTGAATTGAACGCACTCTCACCGAGGTCACCATGGACCCGATGAACACATCGACTGCACGTCTCCAAATCCTCATCTAAATTCTTAATGTCTTTGCAGCATTCAGGCCAGGATCCTACCTCCTTCTTGAGATGTTTTCCTTGGTGGGCTCCTCCAGTGCAGCTCTCTTCCGCTTTCTCTCTGAGACTCCACCTGCACAGGCTTAGTCTCTGTCATGGGCTCCCTATCTTCTGCTCACTCTCTTTGTTATTTTTGTGGGGAAGCCCTATAGAGGTAGTGTATTCTCGATTTCCAAAGGTATAAAAATGTGTGTAACAAGAAGTTTCCCTTCTCATCCCTGCCTCCCAATGGTGAGGTTCCTCTCCCCAGAGACAACCAACATTATCAGTTTCTTATATATTCCTCCACAGACATATTAAGTAGAAGTGTGCATGTATGCACACATATGTCTACAAATTCTTCCACACACACCCCTTTACTTTTTCACAAGAATGGCAGTATTCTATGCACACTGAAGTATGTCTTGCTTTCTTCACAACAACCTATCTTGAAAATCTTTCCATATCTGTACATCACAGGAATACTCATATATGCATGCACCTGATTTGTCTTAACATCTCTCTTTTGATGCCTATTTGGGCTGCTTTCAGTGTTTGCCATTACAAACAATGTAACAACTCATCTTACATGCATCATTTTTCATGTATGGGAATCTCTCCATAGCATATATTCTTACAAGTGGAATTGTGGGGTCAGAAGCATTTGTAACATCCGTAGATATTCCAGATATCCCCCCATTGAGTTGTACCCCCAAATTTTCACTTCAATCAGCAATGAGTGTCTGTTTTCCCATCCACACAGTGTGTTATCCACTGTTTTGATCTTAAGCAAACTGAGAGATGAAAATGATGTCTCAGTGAAATTTTAATTGTATTTCTCTTATTATGAGTAAAGTGGCATATTCTCCTAGGTTTTGATAACTGTTTATATCTTGTCCATCTATCTTTTGGGTTATTGATCTGTTTTATAGTGATTTGTGGACACTTTTTATGTTATGAGGAAATATGCTTTTTGTCAGTAATATAAGTTACAAATCTTTTCAAAGTCTTTTAGCTTTGTGTATGTTGGGGTTTTGCTACGCAGAAGTTTCGTTTTAAAAGTTAAAATTGGCCAGGTGCGGTGGCTCACACCTGTAATCCCAGCACTTTGGGAGGCTGAGGCAGGCAGATCACAAGGTAAGGAGATCGAGACAATCCTGGCTAACACGGTGAAACCCCATCTCTACTAAAAATACAAAAAATTAGCCGGGCGTTGTGGCAGGCGCCTGTAGTCCCAGCTACTTGGGAGGCTGAAGCAGGAGAATGGCGTGAATCCGGGAGGCGGAGCTTGCAGTGAGCCGAGATCGCGCCACTGCACTTGAGCCTGGGCGACAGAAAGAGACTCCATCTCAAAAAAAAAAAAAAAAAAAAAGTTAAAATTATCAGTCTTTTCTTTTATGGCTTCTGGGTCATGTGTCATACTTAGAAAGTTCTTCCATTCTAAGAGTTTTAAAATTCTCACATTTCTGGTACATTTATTATATTATCATTTTGTTACAGTTACATTTTTGTTTCATATGGAGTTTATTCTAGTATAAAGTATGAGATATGGATCCAACACTTTTTTCTAGATGGTTCTCCAGTTGCTTCAACTCCATTTATTGAATAATGCATATGTGTAATTTCTGGAATTTGATTTTGTTCTGCTGTGTTGTCTAGTACTACATTGTTTTATATAATATAGTTTTATAGTATGGTTTAATACCCGACAGGGCAAGGTAGCCCCTACTCCTTACTATTCTGCTTTCAGATATTTGCTAGTTATTCTTCTTGTCAAGAACTGTGAAGGGTCTAAGAGGGTTTTTACTCTGCCTGCAAACCAGCAAGTTAGCCTGTCCTGTTTCTGTGCTGGCAGAAGACACAAGACTTCTGAGTCAGAGACAAAGGACTTTATTATTCGTGGCAATAGCAGTAGCCAGAGTGTCAGCATTTGTGATGGTTACACAAGCCCCAAGTGCCACAGTATGACAGGTGATACCTGCACAAGCAGTGAGTTGTGTTACAGGAGAAAAACTTTCAGTTTAGAGAGCCTAAATCTTTTACAATGGGCAGTAAGCTTGCCTGATTTTTGCCCTAGAAGGGGACATTATCTTTGTTATACTGGACAGTAAACAAATTGCTCTTTGCTCCAGAGGAAAACACTATCTCTATCTTCCAAACATGTTCACTAGTCTGTCTTTACAAAGATAGTCTGGAACAGAGGTAGTCATTACTTCTGCTCGTGCAGAGGCCTCTCAACACTTATTTATTTTTCCATATGAGTGTTATAATCAGTTTGTCTAAACAACAACAACAAAGGCTTCATTTTTATTGAAAACCTTATTAAATTCTAAATTATCTGAGGGAGAATAGACAATTTTATGATGTTAGTTTTCCATCCAAGAGCATTATTCAAATGTTTTTTTGTCCCTTGGAAGCATTTTAATGCTTTCTCCAGTTAGATTTTGCACATTTCTTGTTATGTTGATTCCCAGGTTTTTTATCTTTTTTGTTGCTGTTATAAATGTGTTCTATTCCCATTTTATCTTCTAACAGGTTGTCATTAATTCTTGCTCTTTAAATGAATGGTTTCCCTCCAGAGTCCCCCCTCTCCCTTCTTCTCTTCTTATTTCTAAGATTTTCCCGGATGATCTCATTCTTTCCCAAAACTTCAGTGAGCATCTGTCAGCCGATGCCTCCATACTGTCATCTCCAGCCCTGGACTCTCTCAGGAGCTCCTGGTGCCTATGCTCTGGACGTCCCACAGGCTCTTAACATCCTGCCAGCTTTGAAATTAAACTTCTCAGCCTTCCCATTAGACCAGCTCCTCCTCCTCCTGAACTCCAGTCTCGGTCTACAGTGCCACCACTCACCCAGGTGCCTCCCAGTAAAAGGGGGAGGCCTTCCTTCACCCTCTTTTCCACTCACTCATCAAGTTCTGTCTATACTTCCTCCTCAGTTTCTCTTTAATCTGTTCCCTGACTCCATCCTCACCGCCATGGGCTGATCTCCACACCATTGACTGAGAAGTCCCCTAGGTGACTACCCAGTCTTACATCTCCTCCCTGGAATTTCTTCCTAGCTTGCTGCAGGAGTGGCCCACGGTTGGAATTATGCCATTCTCCAAAGGCTCTAGGATCAAACAAGCTAGCACGGAATCCAGGGCTGGCTATTGGCGACCTGGTCTCTTTCCCCAACACCTTGAACTTCAAGTCTTCCATTCCTACACTATCCTGCACCTGCACTTCTGTACATCCCTATGCCTTAGCACTGACCTTCACCTGGAGTATCTCAACCCGCCACTGCCTTCTCTACCTGGCTCCCTCCTATACCTCCCTAACAATGCAACTCAGGTGTCAACAACTCCAAAAGACTTTCCAACACTCTCATCTGGATGAGATGCCTTTCGTTCATTCATTCATTCATTCGTTTACTTCAGTAGGCATTTAATTGATTTTCCATTTGTCAAGCTGTTAGCTAGGTACCAGGGATACCAAGATGAACTGAACACAAGTCATTGCCCTCTAGGGACTCACTATCCAAGTATTTGTTATTTAAAATATAGTCCTGAACCAGCACCATTAGCATCACCAGGGAGCTTGTTAAAAATACAGAGACACCAGCCCAGACCAGCTGAATCTGCATTTGGAAAAGAGCCCCAAGTGGTTCATGTGCCTGATAAAGCTTGAGAAGCATTGGTCTGGGTGGTATGTAAACAGAGAAATATGACAAATGAGGTTAAGTGCAAAATCAAGGCAATATATGCAGGGTGCTCTAAGCAGATCATGAGAGAGAGGTAACAACTGAATATAAAGGGAGGCTGGAGGGTCTGGATAGGTGAGCTCAAGACAGAAAGCAGAGTTGGAATTGTGGGGAAGGGGATTTCCAGGCAGAGAGTACAGCTTGGGCAAAGGCATGGAGGGGAGAAAATGTGTATGATAGGTGGGAGTGAAGGGTCCACTGGCTGCTAAATGTGAGGTCTGGCAGACACAGGACGGTGAGAGAAAAAGCACACATCCAGCTTTACTTCCTAAAATTTCACCCTAGACCCATGGCTATCCTTTCAGCCACCCACAGTGAATGCCAGGTCATGAAGCTTGGATGTGCACCTTAAGAGTGGAGTGACACCATGTGCATTTCAAAGGCAGCAATGAAACTGGATTTAAGTTCGAGGAGCCTGCAGCCTGGGAACCTGGCTAGGGGACACAAGTGTGCAGACCAGAGGTGACACCAAACCAAACCAGAGCAGAGGCACCCTGGGTGAGAGGAGAGCGCAGACTCCAGAGATATTGGGGAGGTCAAATTGACAGGACTGAATGTGTGGAAGATGCAAAGAGAGGAGCAGGAGTAATTCTCAGCATCCTGTCCTGGGTTGGTGAAAGTACAAACCAACCAAGGTGGGAGCAGCGGAAGGAAGAACCAGCTAAAGTTAAAAAGCACTGGTATTGACTGAGCACCGGATCTGTGTTGGGCACCACACAGATTGCTTTGTGTAAATTTCCTCAATTAATCCTCACTGGGCAATCCTCAAAGCAGGTACTATTATGGTTCTCAGTTTGCAGAGGAGGACACTGAAGGCACAGAGGGCAATTACTTGTCCAGGGTCACACAGGGAGGGAGAAGGAGAGCTGGGATCTGAGCTCAGGCTATACCCACTTTGGACACCCCACCTGAGGTCACCCCACTTCACAGACTGGCTTTGGACATGCTGAGAGTCAAGGACATGCCAGATTTCCAGTGGAGAAGAATAAGTGAGACAGGCGCTCAGGTGAGCCACTGGGCAGGGTGTCAGCCCTCAGAGGTAGCCAGAGCCCTTGAGTGGATGAGATGATGCAGGAGTAAGGGGCACCAGGACTGGTGGGCAGTGGGTGACACTAACATCCACATAGCTCCCCACTGCCTCTTGGGCTGCCACTCGCTAGTTTAGCCAGAGCCTGACATCATGCAGACACCCAGAAGCTTCAGGAACTGGCCTCTCCCTCAGTGAACCAGGCGTCCCCACCAGGCCAGAGGCTGAGAGGAACAATATCAGAGAGGGGAGACAGATGTGCCAGAGCCAGGCAGGAGCCAGCTTCAGGGGCACCTTAAAGTAGAGGAACCCTGCTCCCCCTCCCACACTTCAGCTACAGTGATTGCAACCCCATCTGCACTTTCCAACTAGGTGGTAATATCATTACTCCCAAGCCGCCATCTTCTCAACTATAAGATGGAAGCACTAGCGCTCTGCTCTCGGAGCTGTCAGCAGAACCACACGTGGTTCTGCTGTGGTGAACCACGTCCTTGCGTGAAGAGGGTACTTTGCAGACTGCAGAGGGATTCCTTATGGCTGGCAGCACCCCCCCCCCCAACATCATACAGTGGAGAGGATCTCCTTGCTGTGGACATCAGGGCTAAAGCTAGTTAGCCCAGCTCCAAAGTCAGGGCTAGGGCTGAGGCTCCACGTGGGAAATCCTGGCTAGGGAAGAAGGAACCAGCATGGGGAGGGGGCCTTTGGGTGGAGGTAGGGGAACTTTAATCACAGACTGAGGGATACCCTGCAGCTCAGCCCCAGCGCATTGTGATAAGCTGGGAGTATGCCTTAATTTTCCCGAGCTTCTGATTTTGCAAAAGAAGCCAGAAATCCAGATCTATAGGTGAAATCTCCAGGTTTTTTATGTAGTTTCTCAAACGCAACTAATTTATAAGTAGTGTAAACACTGGGGAAGAGGGGTACCTAGTCCACACTAGATCCTGTCTCAGATCTAAATTAGGCGCTTTGTCCCTCCCTCAACCTTTGGCAAGAACAAGGGCATCACTTGCTGTGCCTGTGAGTGTATATATAGACATGCCCATGGGTGTTCCTATATTTGAGTGTGTAAGCAGTGCATGGCTGCGCGAGTCCACACGTGATGCGTGTACCTATGTGAACACACTCAAAGACATTTTGGAGGTAAGTCTGTGGGCGAGCACGGCCCCCACGTATGCGTCTGTGAACACGCATGAACAAGCACAGGTGTACAATGCATGACAGCACGTGTGACCGTGGGTTCGTGCACCTGCGAGTTAATGCACATGCATATAGGCTCCGGTATGGGCCGGTGTTTGCAGCCGCTAGTGAGGCCGTCCGGGGGCAGGGAGGCATGACTGTTCCCTGCACTGCCCCTGGCGGGGAGCCGCGTCCTCGCGGGCTGGCTGCCAAGGGAGCGCTCTGGAGGACGCGCATGCGCGATGGTGGGGCGGGGCGGGGCGGCCCGGCCGGCTGGAGGTCGGGCGGCCTCTGCCCTTCGGAAACCAGGGCATCGATCCTGCCCGCCCCGCGCCCCCGCGCTGGCCCACAGAGCGGAGGGAAGGGGAGGGGAGAAGAGTGGGGAGGAGGCGGCGCGGCAGCTGCGCCCCGGGCGCTGCGGGAGGGAGGAGCGCGGCGCGCAGCCGCGGCCATTAGTCACCAGATGTCACCTTCTGCTGCCAAGGCGGCGCCTGGCGCAGACAATGGCCGCGCGGGCCGAGGGGCGGGCCGTGCCGGCCCCAAAGCCGCGTCTCTGCTGACACCTACAGCCCCGCTCCACTTTCCGCCGCCCCTCTGGGCCCCTTTGCCCAGGGCCTTTCCCGCCGCCGCGCCTGGCCAGCACCAACTTCCCCACGTCCCTTCCCCCAAGTCCGCGTAACGCCTCATCTCTCAGGGCACAGCGCAGGTGTCACCGCCTGCATTTCCTGGCTGTCCTCCCTGCCCCTCCTCCCATTCTCATAGCCTCTTCTTCCAACTCGGATACCCAAGAGGGGCTCCCCTGCTTCCCCAGACTGGGCTGTATGAGATCCGCAGGGACCTTGCTTTCTTCTTGTGCACCTGGCACTATGCCTGACACTCAAGGCTGGTGCCTGGGGTGGCACTGGTGCCTTCCAATTTGCAGGGGAATCACGCTAGATGTTGAAGTTCATTGCCACCCACACATAGCTGCACTTGACCCCATGCTGAGATAAAAGCCCTTCACCCTAGAAATCCAACAAGGATCACTGAGCTTTTCCCTGGGTACAGATATCCCCCCAAAATATAAGTGGGAAAATGAGTGCCCTAAGTGTGGCAGATTTTTACAGCTCATTTTTAAAATGTCCCCCACCACAGTGCTTTGAGTCCACAGCCACAGCTCGCATGCAGCATTGGGACCACCAAATGTGGAGGATGAAGATGTGCAGGACCAGGAGTTCCTCCTTGGACCTCAGGACCCTAAGCTAGGAGTCGTCAACTTTTTCTCTAAAAGGCCAGGAAGTAAATATGTTAGGCTTTGCCCAGCCATGTATATTTCTGCCACATAATCTTTGAGTTTTGTTTTTACAACCCTTTAAAAATGTAGAAATCATTCTCAGCTCAGGGACCATGCAAAGGCAGGCAGAGGGCAGTATTTGGCCCTAGTTTGCCTCACCTGTCCAAGACCCGCAGAACACCAGTAGCCAGAGAAGCAAGATCACACGGAAGCACACTAGGGTCAACATCAGTGTCAGAGAAACCTGAGCTGGAATCCTAGGTCACCCTGGGCAGCCGGTGATGCTTGGTAAATCGTGCCACCGCGCAAGCTTAGGGGTAAATGGGAACATCATTAGAACCTACCTTGCAGGTTTGCAGGAAGAATTTCGAGCACAGTGCCTGGGTGGGTGCTCACTGTTTTTGTCCCTCTGTCACTCAGCGTGTATGTGTCTGTGCACACACACACGCCTCTGGCAAGAAGAGGCTGACCCATGATCTCTGGAGATGCTGCCACAAGATAAGGAAGTCTTCCAAGCCAGACAGATTGAAACTGAAATCTTGGCTCTGCCCTTGCCTGGCTGTGTGACCTCCAGCAAAATACTGAACCTTCCTGAGCCTCAGTTTCCCCATTTAAAACCAATAGAATATCAGTACCAACTTAGTCGCAGCATGCCCATCGTGACTTATCGAAGTTACCTGTGAAGGCACTGAACACAGTGCTTGACACGTAAGAAGATGGGCAGAAGGGGTGGCTCACTGTGGCTGTTGTGGTGTTAGCCTCCGTGGTGGGAAGGCAGGCTCCTCCAGGAGAGGGACTGCTCGTTCTGGCACTCCCGAAGGGCTCCAATGTCAAGAATGCAGGGCTCAGCCTGTGATCCAGAGCGTAGTGTCCTTCTCAATGTGGCCTTGAGGCCTTCTTTCTCAATGCTGGTAGCCTGTCGTTGCTCTCTCTGCCTCCCCAGCCCTCAGTCCTCTCAGAAGAGCACTGCCCAGGTCGTGGAGACACAGGCACTCCCGAAATCCCCAAGAAACCCAGCCTCCCTTCTGTTTGGTTTTGTTTGTTTGTTTCCTTTTAAAAATAATGTTTATTTTTAAAATTTGTCTCCGAAAGGCATGCGCAGTGTTAGAAACAATCTGGAAAAGAATAGGAATTTTTAAAATTACCCTTTATCTTACCATCACTGAAAAACAGTGTGACCATTTCGTGCAAGTTCTCCAGGCTTTTTCCTATGCATAGCACACATTATGTACCTAGGTCCACATTTTTGTAAAAAAAAAAAAAAAAAAAAAATGGGAACATATGCTGTATTCTGCAATCTTTTTTTCTTTTCACAGAATACAGCTTGAACATCTCCTCATATCCTTGTCTCCTACATTATTGTTTTTGATGCCTGTATAATATTCTATCATAAAGAGAGCCAAACCATTTTATAAATCAACCATCTATCATCAGAAGCAACACAGATATTTTAAATGGCAATGAGTCAAGAGAATTTCCAAGACTCATGAGCACATCTATGAGGGAGGATAGTCAACCCAGAATGGGAAAATGGGAAGGGGTCTGTATGCAGAGAGAATTTTCTTCACTTTCTCCTTGAGGGTCTCAGGTTCTCCACCAGCAAAGGGCCATATTGCTCTCCTGGACGCTCCAGGAATGCCCCTGAAGCTCAGCTGCTCCCTGGGAGAGGCTTCTTAGCCATAAACATGAAGTCAGCATGGCAGGGAAAAGAGAGCCAGGTCTGCCGACTCAGGGACCAGTGGCCACCCTGTGGTGCCATGCCACACAGCCTCAGTGCCTTGCCCCACTGCCATGTGAAACATGGTGCTCAGGTGAAACATCTCCCTCCAACACAGCAAGAGGAGCCCAGTTGTGAATCCTGGGGAAACAGAAAGTGAAGGGTGAGGCCAGCTGGACTTCCTGGGTCAAGTGGGGACTTGGCAAAATTTTCTGGGTAGCTAGAGGATTGTAAATGCACCAATCAGTGCTCTGTGTCTAGCTAAAGGATTATAAATGCACCAATCAGCACTCTGTAGCTAGGATTGTAAAACGTACCAATCAGCCCTCTGTGTCTAGCTAGAGGATTGTAAATGGACCAATCAGCACTCCGTAAAATGGACCAATCAGCACTCCGTAAAATGGACCAATCAGCACTCTGGAAAATGGACCAATCAGCAGGATGTGGGCGGGGACAAATAAGGAAATAAAAACTGACCACCCCAGCCAGCAGTGGCAAGTTCCTTGGGTCCCCTTCCAGGCTGTGGAAACTCTGTTGTTTCACTCTTAACAATAAATCTTGTTGCTGCTCACTCTTTGGGTCTGTGCCACCTCTAAGAGCTGTAATACTCACCGCGAAGGTCCACGGCTTCATTCTCGAAGTCAGGGAGACCAAGAACTCACCATAAGGAACTAACTCAGACACCAGAGACAGACACAGAGAGGAAGGAGGGAGGGAGGGAAAGAGAGAGAGAGAAAGAAAGGAAAAGGGAAGAAAAACTCTGTGCAGTCAACAACCCTGCAGCTGCCAGGGCAAAGAGGAAGTGTGACAGGCAGGCCAAGGCTGGGAGCAATCTGAGGTCTCTCTGCTGGTCTGAGCTCTCCTGCCATGAGGCTTCAAGCTGGAATTTCTAGTCGCATGACGTTGGGTAAGCCATTTCTCCTCTCAGAGCCTCCATTTCTCTAAAAGTAACAAGGAGGTGAAATAGCTACCCACATACATTGTAAGGCTGTGTACACAGCAAGGACTTCTTAAAGGTTCCTCACTGACCTGCCTCGGCTTCCATGCTGGGCCCTGACAGTCAGATGCCAGGTATCTACTGGGTGCCTAGTATGTGCTGGGTGCCTGGGGTGCAGAAAGGAGGAAAACAAATGGAATGCCTGCCCTCACAGCACTCAAAATTAATGAGCAAACAAAGCATTTCCAGTAAATAAATGATTGTTAAGTGTGTGATATGGTATGAAGAAGTGTTACATACCCTGAGAGTACCAATCACCTCTTGTAGTGGGAGACTCGATGTGTCACCCAGAGGCTGGAGTGCAATGGCACGATCTCGGCTCACTGCAACCTCTGCCTCCCAGGTTTAAGTGATTCTCCTGCCTCAGTATCCTGAGTAGCTGGGATTACAGGCAGCGCCACCACGCCCAGCTAATTTTTGTATTTTTAGTAGAGATGGGGTTTCACCATGTTGGCCAGGCTGGTCTCAAACTCCTGACCTCAGGTGATCCACCCACCTCAGCCTCCCAAAGTGCTGGGATTACAGGTGTGAGCCATCGCGCCTGGCCAGAAGCAGTCATTTCTACGAGAGGGAAGGATTAGTAGGAATAATATACAGAAGAAAAGTCTAGGAAAGGTTGCTGCAGGCAGAAGAAGTGGCCCTACGGTGGAAAAGGACATGGCCTGAGCCGAGGCTGACCACAGACCAGTGGGGATGGAGTGTCAAGAGTCGGGGCAAATGGCTAAAGATGGGGCTGGAGGGGGCAGGGCCTTGCCGGCCATGGAGCTGTCTTGTAAGAGTGTATCAGGCAGGTATGTTTGAGGAACAACAAAGAGGCCACCAATGAGCAAAGGTGAGGTAAAAGGGCACAGGTCAGACACAGTCTGAAGCTAGATTATTCTCAGCTTCATAGGCCATTGTGAGCATTTGGGCTTTTGAGTAAAATGGGAGCCATCGAGAGTGGGGAGAGTTGAGGGGAGGAATGGCACAGTCTGAGAAGTTTTAAAAAGGACACTCTGGAAGTTCCTCTTCCAGTGGAGTGGAGTGATCTCCTAACAGGTATACCCTTCCACAAATAATATCTATAAATTCTGGATATAATACAGAAAACAATTGCTGGAGGGCTCTGAAATAATCAAAATGATCAAAAGACCAGAATGACCAAAAGCAGGCAGATTTTGGAAGGATGTTGAAACTTGTAAGAAGGGACCAGTATGTGGTAAGTTTTCCACTTTGATGACTTTACCCAGAGGGCAGGCTGCAGCTGTGGCCTTGTTCAGGGCTGCTAAAAGTCCAGTAGAAAATGCTGTTTATATGGCCTGAAGAACCAGAGGACAGAACCTAGAGCAACCAGAGCCCCTGGAAAGGAAGGGGGATTTTCTGGAAAGGAAAGTGCCAGAAAAGGCCCAAATTCTGTTAGTAAACTCTGATCAAGTATCTGGCTCACTTCTGAATCACACATGCATAGAGAAGATTCAAGACAACTTGCAACTAAGGCTTAAAGAACTGAGCTGTGATTTGAGGTGCAGCCCACTAAAGGCAAAACAGTTAGTAGTTTGAGTCTAACCAGGTGAAATGCCTGCTAATACAAAGACGTCAGCACTCTTTGGAGGACTATGACAAACTCCAGAATCTCTACAACATAGCATTTCCAGTGTCCAGGATAAAACCCAAAATCAACACACAAGAAATTAGGAAAATATAATCCATCCTCAAGGGTAAAGATAGTCAATGGAGATCAACTCTCAGATGACCCAGAATTTGAAGCTATCAGACAAGTACCACAGTTATTATAACTGTGCTAAACAAGGCAAAAGAAAATACATTCATAATAAATGAAGAGATAGGAAACCTCTAAAGAGAAATAAAAATATAGAAAGAACCAAGTGGAAATTCCAGTACTAAAAAATACAATACCTGGAATATTTTAAACAATTACTGTATAGGCCTAAAACAGAATGAAGATGGCCGGGCATGATGGCTCACGCCTTTAATCCCATCACTTCAGGTGGCCGAGGCAGGCAGATCACTGAGGTCAGGAGTTTGAGACCAGCCTGGCCAACAGGGTGAAACCCTGTCTCTACTAAAAATACAAAAAATTACCTGGACATGGTGGCGCACAGCTATAATCCCAGCTACTCGGGAGGCTGGGGCAGGAGGCCTTGACCCCAGGAGGCAGGGAGCTGAGATCATGCCACTGCACTCCAGCCTGGGTGACAGAGCAAGACTCCATCTCAAAAATAAACAAATAAATAAATAAATAAATAGCTGTGAGCTTAAGTTGATCAACAAAAGCCATTTAGCCTAAAAAAAAAAAAAAAGAGGGCAGGGGAAGGGGGGGTATAAAAGAGTGAACAGTGTCTAAGAGGCCTGTGGGATAACGTCAGAGATCTAATATATGCATAATTGGAGTGCCAGAAGGAAGGAGAGGAATAAGAGAGCATAATTTTTTTTCTTAAGAAATAATGGCAAAACGGCATGGTGGCACAAACCCACCTGCTCAAGAGGCTGAGGCTAGAGGACGCTTCAGCATGGGAGTTCAAGACCAGCAGCCTTCTCAGAAAAAAAAAAAAAAAAAAAAAAAAAGAGAGAGAAAGAGAAAAAAAGAAATAAATAGTGGCAAAAAACAACAACACCCACTTTGCAAATTGGTGCAAAACAAATTTACATACACTCATTCAAACTGCTAAAATAAAAGATAAAAAGAAAACCTTGAAAGCAGCCAGAGAAAAAAAGACACATTACAAAGAGGAACAAAGATTCAAATAACCACAGACTTCTTACCAGAAACTATGGAGGCCTGAAGCAGAACACAGTCATGGGACCTCAGATGGAAAATATTTTTCAAAGATAAAATATAACAATACAACGATAAAAAAGAGTAAAAATTTTTAAATGATACAACAACTATTTACATAGCATTTACATTGTATTAGGTATTATAAGTAATCTAGAGATGTTTTAAAGTGTATGAGAGAATGTGCAGAAGTTATATGCAAATACTATGCCATTTTACATAAAAGACTTGAGCATCCACGGATTTTGGCATCCATGGGGAGGTCCTGAACCCAATTCCCCACGAGTACAGAAGGAGCATTGTAACATCATTTAAAGGGCAAAGAAAAAAAAAAGCTGTAACCCAGATTTCTAAATCTAGTGAAAATATTAGTTAATAAGGAAGGCAAAATACATTTTCATTTAAAAGAAAATGTATGGATTGTGTCACCAGAAGACATGGACTATAAGAATACTAAAAGAAGTTCTTCAGAATGAAGCAAAATAAAATCAAAGAGGCACTGGATCCTCAAGAAAAATAAAAAATAAAAAACATCAGAAATGGTAAAATATTGCTAAATATATAAAATTATAAGTTAATTTTCCTCTTAATTTCCTTAATATGCAGATAACTAAAGCAAAAATGATAACATTGTCTTATAGGGTTTATAATGTATATAGATGTAATGCATATGAAAACTATAGCATACAATGGGGATGGCAAATATTTGTAAGAGGTTTATATTTTACATAAAGTGATAAAGTATTAACTCTAAACTGACTGTGAAAAGTTAAGGACATATGTGTAATCTCTAGAACTGAAAAAAAAACCACTTTAAAAAATGCAAAGTACTATAGCTAAAAGGACAAATAGTTGCGTGAAAAGTGGAATTCCAAAACAATCCCCCTGGCTTCTGTGCAAAGGGTGATAGCAGGCAGACTAGTCAGGGTGTTACTGAATAATCCAGGTGGATGATGTTGCTGGCTTGGACTAGAAGGGAGCCGTGGAGATGGTGAGAGGCAGTCAGATTCTGGATGGATTCTGAAGGTAGAACCCAGAGGATTCACTCATAGATTGGGTTTGTGGTGTGAGAGAAAGAGCCAAGGATGACCCTAAGGCCTGTGATCCTATAAGCTGTAGTGACAGAGCTGCGTTTAGTGAGACTACAAAGAAGACTTTTCTCCTCCCTTTCCCTCCCCAGTTCTCTGTGGCTTCTGAGACCTGCAGCAGCTCCATGTTTGGGAACCAAGCTGGGCCGGAGGCTCAGTGAGGAAAGAGACGGGGACAGAGTCATATGCCACCCAGCCTAGCCTTCAAGTTGGAGCAGGGATGACAGAGCATGTGTGCCTCTCGGCAAGGTTCACGTCAGATCAAAACATCATCCTTATGGCTTCTCCCAGCTTCCAGATTTCCGTCTCCAAGAATCCCTTCCCCATGAGAAGTAATTGAGAAATAATTGCTAATATTTCACAGAGATGGAAGAAGCCTCAGCCCCAGCCTCTGGAAACAAATTAGAGATGTGGATGAGGTTTAGAAACAGAAAGCGGCCCTGCTTCTCATTAGCAGTTGCAAATAAGATTACAGAAAAAATGTTTCTGCCATGAGGATGGCGTCCGCCTGGAAAAAATTAAACCAGTTGCAGGGTAATTTAGAGACCCCGGACCAGGATTCAGATTCTGGGTTGGGGGTAGGGCTCTAGGACTAACTTGCCCCAAATCAAAGAGCAGATCTGCGGCAACCTGTCTGAGCCTCAGTTTCCATGCCAGTTAGATGGGAAGAGGCTGTAGGACTCAAATCTGGAGATGGACAATGACTTATGGGTGTCAGCCACTTTGGGCAGCCAGACAGCCCAGGCCCCACCAGCACAGGTAGCTCAGACTCACAGACATGTGAAGACAGCAGGGAGCACTGGCTTAGAGGTCTTTGCCTTCCCTGGCCTGGCCTAATGCCCCTATATCCTGGCTCCATCCTGAGTAAGAATGGCTGACATTTATCAAATGACAACACTGTTCGGAATTCTTCATGGGAGTACATTTATTTAACCCTCACAACAACCCCATGAGGTAGGTACTATTAATATCCCCACTTTATAGAGAAAGAAAGTAAACTACACAAAGGCAAATTAACTTGGCCAAGGCCAGACAGCAAGCAAGCTGCAGAGCCAGGAGAGTGAACTCAGTCTAATTTTAAAACCTGTGCTCCTAACCACCAGCCTATCTGGCCCTCTGAGGCTTGTGGGGCTCCCTAGCTCTGCCCCCTGACTTCGAGACTGCAGAAGTTTTAGCAGTTAGTCCACGGAAGGTCCCAGGCTCCGAAGGCCCCGTAGACTTAGGTGTGAGTTCTGATTCTACCACTTACATCTACACAACTCTGAGCCCGTGTTTGCTTGTGTGTATTTTTTTAAATTAATTATAGATTTGTCACAGACTTGCTCTAAGGAAGAAAGAAGACCTAGGTATAAGAAATCAGGCTGGAAACAGTGGCTTGTGCCTATAATCCCAGCACTTTGGGAGGCCGAGGTGGGCAGATCACTTGAGATCAGGAATTCGAGACCAGCCTGGCCAACATGGCAAAACCCCATCACTACTAAAAATACAAAAATTAGCCAATTGTGGTGGCACATGCCTGTAATCCCAGCTACTCGGGAGGCTGAGGCAGGAGAATCACTTGAACCCAGGAGGCGGAGGCTGCAGTGAGTCGAGATTGTGCCACTGAACTCCAGCCTGTGTGACAGAGTGAGATTCTGTCTCAAAAAAAGAAAAGAAAGGAAGGGAGGGAGGGAGAGAGAGAGAGAGAAATCAGGCCCTGTCTAAGGGTCAGTTTCTCCCCCTGCAGCCCCATCTCTGGCCAAGAGCTAAAGGACCCTCAGGGATCTTTGAAATACTCTCACCCCTCCAGGCTTGTCAGTCCTCTTCCTGACCCAGCCCCAAGCCCACCCCTGAGTGAAGCCCTCCTCTGTTCTCCCACCTCAAACCCCACCCCAACCCACACGCAGCACTCCTTCCCGGGCACCTGCCACTCCAAGTGTCACCTGTGTGGTCCCCTTTCCATCCAGAAATGTAGCACTCCATGGCTACCTGGTCTTCAGGAGTTTTCCCATCCCTCCTTTGCCATTAAAGGTGGTGTTTGAGGATGGCCAAATTCTGCAGCCTGGCTTTCAAGGCGCTCCCTTCCCTAGCTCGTGCACTCTGGAGAAGCCGACCTCATTTCTGTAACCTCCCCAGGGTTCATTGCCCCTACACACACTAGAGTCTTTGTCCAAATCCCTCTCCCCAGCCCCCACCCAGAAGCCAGGAGAAGCGGATGGATTCTGAAGTACTGGAAGAATATTCTGGCCACAGCTGCCCTGGAGACAGTCCATGAAAGGGAATCCTGAGACCAGGGCAGAGGGATCGGGTTACTGGAGAGCTAATCTGATTAGAGCCAGTCAAAGGGGGAGGGGGTGGGCAGTGGGGACAGGAGCCTTGAGACTGGAAAAATAGAGTAATAGACCGAGATGTTGAAGCCGGATATGGGGACAGGGCAAGGAGAGGACAGAACACATAGGGAACAGAAGGACCTGGTTTCCAGTCCCAGGTCCAGCACTTACCTGTGCCTACCAGCTGGGTTGCCCCGCATAGGCCACCTAAGCTCTCTGAGGCCCAGGATCTTATTTTAAAGTCAGGCCAATCTACTCAGTGCCCCAGGATTGCAGGGGATTCTATAAGAAAGCACAGGGGACCATGGGCTGGGTGCTGAGCTTGGCCCTGCCAGGGCTTTCTAAAGGGAGCTTCCCCTCATCCCCTCTCCGTGGACAGAGCAGGACAAAGTGGCCCCCATTGCACCCTGGGGGCTGGCAAGGACCCTACAGCAGCCAGCAGCTGGGTCTATCAACCTGAGAGAGCCTCTGCCCCCAGGGAGGCTCCTAATTTAATCAGCTTCACAAATCAGCTCGATGGGCTTAATTGATCTTTTTCACTCCTAATATTGTCGCTGTCACTTTCTGAGTTGTGCCTCCCCCAGCCACCCCCTATGTCAGCCAGCTGGAGAGGGAAAAGGAGCCCAGAGGCCACAGTGGGAGGGAGCTGTGGACAAGAGGGTGAGGAGGGCAGGGAGAGTGAGGGAGGACTCAGACTGACACCTCAAGCCAGACTTTGGGGACTGCGAAATGCCATGGTGGGAGTGAAGAGCAGAAGGGCTTCTAGAGATTAACCTGGCTGGGGCATTAAGCGCATCATTCTAGGGCTCTCCGGGGCTCCACTTCCTCATCTATAAAGATCACAGCAGTACTCTGCCTCTCCAGATCCATTCAATCTCCATGCATTTGTTGAACACCTACTATATTCCAGACATGGTGCTAGCTAGACACAGGGAACGATGGTTAGCAAAAATAAACCTGTCCCAGACCCCATCGGGCACTCTAAGACAGGCTGTCCTCCCCTAGGTGACATCCCCATGGAGCACAGACTAGTGGGGGGTCTGCCATCAGTGGAATAAGTACTTGAGCACATGTCAAAGTGCAGCAGTGAGAAACGCTATAAAGGGGAAGTCCCTGGTGCTGTGTGGGTGGATACTGGGTGAGGGTCGGGGTGGGGAGGGCCAGGGAGGGCTCATGGAGGAAGCGGTGCCTGAGTTGAGATTGAAAGAATGAGGTCAGGCTGGGCGCAGTGGCTCACGCCTGTGATCCCAGCACTTTGAGGCCTAAGCAGGTGGATCACCTGAAGTCAGGAGTTTGAGACCAGCCTGGCCAACATGATGAAACCCTGTCTCTACTAAAAATATTTTTTAAAAATTAGCTGGGCATGGTGGCAGGTGCCTGTAATCCCAGCTACTGGGGAGGCTGAGGCGGGAGAATCACTTGAACCCGGTAGGCAGAGGTTGCAGTTAGCTGAGATCGTGCCATTGCACTCCAGCCTGGGCAACAAGAGTGAAACTCTTTCTCAAAAAAAAAAAAAAAGAAAGAAAAGAAAAAAAGAAAGAAAGAAAGAATGGTCAAGTTATCTAAATGAAGAGGCAGGAACAACATTCCAGGCAAAAGCCCTGTGTCTTTAACTAAAGCTGAAAGGGGCTTAAAGCTGACCATGTGGCTGTGAGCTAAGAGGAAAGGGGTGTGGGCTGCATGAGCTTAGATCAGGAGCTCCTATATGACTGAATTCCCACATTTTTTATGATGCCCTATGGTAAGAAACACATTTTGCTTGCTGACCCGGAACGTAGAACACACACATGTGCATACATGTGTAATTACCTGCATACATCCACTTCAAAAAGACTGATGAAGCAGTTATTCTTGCCACATTAAATGTGACCTCTCTGAGAGTTTCTATTCTATTTCTATTCTAGCTCATTCTATGTCTTTGCTTTAAGGTCACAAGCCATGACATTGATTTCTCAGCCCCCTGATAGCTCATGGCTGCTGGTTAAGAGGCCGTGTGCTTGGTAGGGTCTGGTGGGCTGCATTCAGGAACTATGTCCTTACCCCACAAGCAATGGGAAGCACCGGTTCTCTGAGACACTCTAATGAGACTTGCCTGCTGAGGTCACCCTGGCTGCTGCCAGGGGGAGTCATTTGGAGGGGCGGAAGGGGAGTCAGGGGACCAGGGAGGAGGCTGCTGCAGTAGCCAACCCAGAGATGGGGGCAGCTTAGAGCTAACTGGTTTGCAAAGCCATTCAGGTAACAGGTATGAAAAACTGTGCCAACTAGAACAATGTTTTATGAAAAGCTGCCCAATGGCACTGCAAGATTGCCATATCTAGATTCAGGCAACCCAGGTACCAAGACCAGCCGCATCATTTCCCACTTGTAATCTTGGAAAAATCACTTTGCCCCAGTGGGTCTCACTTTCCTAACTGTAAAATGTAATGTAAGAGTCCCTATCCCTTAGAGGCATTGCCGGATTAGATATAATGCAACGTGCTTGGCCAAATGTCTGGCCTGTAGCAAGCACTAGATAAATCTTAGTTATTAATATGGATGGACATGTTAGAACTCATTCAGTCTTCAACGGATTCAGTGCCCATTCAGTGCCAGGTGTGGAAGAGATGATGGGGAATAAAGTCACACAGCCCCTGTTCTGCATTCCTGGTCCAGGGGGCATTTCTAGAACCATAATAGATTTATTTTGGTCAAAACTGATTTTTAATCTGACAGCTGCCAAGCTCACCTGGCTATGCTCTCCCATTTACAAGGTGCTCTCTCATTACAACTGGCCCAGACCAGTTAAGGTTCCTTTTAAACAGGTTGCACCTTCATGCAAACACTTACCTAGTGCCTGTTGCCTGAGCTCAATTTATGCTTGCAGAGTAACGTGACCATTCTGGTGTATCTGGTTTGTCTATGCCATATCTCCTAAACATGCAGCGCTCCCTCTCCTCCTTCCCCTCAGAAGCTTCTGAGGGGCAGAGTTGTGGGGAGGCCAGAGCGACAGCAGGCTGTGCAGCCAGGAGCCGGCACAACAGAGCAGGCTGTCTGCTCCCTGCAAGCCAAGCTGGAGCTGGCAGATGGGGATCAGGGCTGGGACCTTCCTGACAATGATCATCGCCACTGCTGAGGCTCAGTAAAATGGCCAGGAGCAGGTGGGTGCAAGGTCTGTACTACCCACCCTTGGGTTGGGCTCTGGGCACCTCGTCCAGGTGCAGAGGGAAGGCTTGGCCTTCACCCCAGCACCCTCTCTGCCGCCACAGACTCACCAGCCCCAATTTCTGAGTCATGCGCTGATTGACCATTAGGGGACTGACTCTCTCGAGGTCTGCCGGGCTTCATTCAGCAAACTGTTTTCTCATCTCCTTGGCTGCTCTTCCTGGGAATAAGAGGGTTTGTGTGGCTGGCTCTGTCTCTCTCCTTGTCTTGCTATCTTCACGCCTCCATGTGCATGGGTTAAGATCTCTCCTGCATCTCTGCCTTCCGAGGTCTCTAGTTGCATCTCTCTGGCTTCTCACCTGTCTCTCTAAGTCTGGACCACTCTCTCAGGCCTCATTTGCCTTGGGTATTTCTCTCTGACTTGCATCTCTTTGGATGCTGGTGAGCTCTTCTCTCAGTTGCCCCTGTGGCTCCCTATGTCTTGGGCCAGTCTTCACGTTCCTTTTTCTGTTTGTTGTTTCTGTGTTTATCTCTCTCTGCAGTTTCATGTGGCTGAGTCTGTCTCTGTCTGTACCCCACCTGGCATGGGGGAGTGAGGAGGCGTCTCTCTCCGAGTCTCAAGGCACCTGCCTCTGGTGACAGGCTGTCCTTGGAATGAGCCAATTAGACTGCAAAAGTCATCTCTCCACCTTCCCATCCCACCCACCAGCTCCCACCAGCACACACAGAGACACACCTGGTTCCCTAAGCTTTGCGCAGACAACATGCCCAGGAGGAGCACTTGACTCTGCTGAACAAGTCGCCCCTCCCACCCCTAGCAGCTGAAGTTCTCATCTGCTCCACAGAAAGCAGCCCTCAAATGCTGCCTCTGCATCCCACAGCTGTGTGACCTTGGGCACATCCCTTAATCTCTCCTTCCCCTGTTCCCCCAAAAAGGGTCTCAATACAGCATTATGCTGCCTTCTCAACTGACCCCTCCAGGAGAGGATAATGAGGACTCGATACCCATTGGGAAGGCCTTCCCGTTAAAGGAGGAAAACGCCGAGTTTGCCAGCACAACAGCACCCACCTCCTCCCAAGAGGAGCCTCAGCACTGGGGCAGTAATGTCGCTCGGGATCAGAGGTGGGACCAGCCATTTCACCTGGAGAAGAGCAGGGCTGTCCTTCCAGCTCCTTGCTAGACAAGAAGGGAAGAGATCTTCTCCTTAAGAGGCTGTTGCTTAATGAAAAATAAAACTAAATGCAGCCATAGATAGCACACTGATGGTGGGAAAATCTTACTTGACCCCCCCGCCCCGCCGATTCTGTGCCTTTCTGAGGGCAAGAGGAAAATGGAAGTACCCTTATCTGATGGTTCCTGTCTAAGGAGGCAGGAAAATGTCAGCTGGTAATAGGTCCCTATTTTCTTCCAGACATCCACACGGATGCTCCCAGTGTCCAGGAGAGGCCATGCGTGGAGCCTGCAGGAGAGGGGGGCAGTGTGCACCATCTCTAGGAGCAGCTTTTCTAGATGAAGGGCCTAGACTATGGGATCTGCAGAGTTGCAGGAGATGTATGCAGACTCCACCCTCTGGACCAGGGGCTGTGCTGAGGCCAATTGTGTTAGGGAAGGCTTTTAGAGCACAGCTGCACACCAGGCACTTGACATACGATGTATCATTAGTGAGCTCAGCCTCTGATGAGGCAGGTGTCAGTATTAGCCCCCATTTTACAGATGGGGAAGGGGAGGCACAGAGAGGTCAGGAACTGGCCCAGAGTCACTCAGTCCCCTAGCTAGACATGAACCCAGGCAGTCTAATTCCAGAGTGTGCACTCTTAACTACTGTGTGATGTATGTGGACTAGAAAGCAGGACACACAGCGAGCAGGGAAATTCACTCCGTGTGGTGTGGGCACTTAGCACGACTTCTTAGGGACCAGAGAAGCTTCCACTATCATATTTTGTTTTCATTAGTAATGGTTTTTTAAAATGTCAACAATCGCTGAGCCAACTTCTCATAATCAATCCTTTATATTTAAAAAAAGGTCAAAACAAAGTTACATCGTGGATGATTTTAAATGTTTACATTTCACAAATTAATGCTTTTAGCCTTATCAATACAATGCAATAAAAATTATGCTCTTTCCAAGATAGCTACATTATTTTAAAAAATAATGTGATTTCAGAGTGCACTCAAGTAACATGGGCTGGCGATGGGGCAAAAAATGTAAGCGTGGATAATCATCTCTCTTTGAATGTTGTTGCTCTGAGGCTACAAGTCTAACTCTCCTCTTTAGAGAATAACATCAAAAGTCCAATCTGGGAGGAATCAGCCCGATGTTGCTGGCTTTGAAGATGAAGGAAGGTGGCCATGAGCCAAAGAAAGGACTTCTGTTCTACAGATTTGTAAGATAATAAGTGTGTTGTTTTAAGAAAAAAAAAAGAAAGAAAGTTTAACCTAGAGACCCTTCATGAACCTAGCATTTCTTCTCTCCCACTCCCTTGGAAAATACTAAGTATTTACAAAGAACAGAAGTAGTATAGGAAGGAGGTGTGATCAGTCTGTCATGGGGAGGGGTTGGGAATCAATCAAGGATGGTGTCACAGAGGTGTTGACCACTGAACAGGGGTTCTGCAGGATGAATAGGAGTTCACCAGGTAGATAAAGGGGGAAAGAGCATTTCAGACAGAGGGGAAAGCCTGTGTAAAGGCTAAAAGTTAATGAGCAGTCTGTGTAAGGTCACCAGCCATGGTTCAGGATTACCTGATTAAAGCACAGAGAGAAACTGTGGGTGATGGGAAGATAAAGTTCGAGACCAGATCTTGCAGGGACTTCATGGTAAGGCCTACTCTGCAGAAAAGAGAAAGAAATAGAAGAGGCTGGAGTTCAGTTCCTTAGAGGAAGTTTCAAATATCCTGGAAATGCTTAGGCTGGAGGCCAAAGAATTAAGGGAAGACCAGAGTGTGATTATACCTACAGGACAACTTTCCCATTTTTGTGAAGAATTTTTCATTCCACCCAGATGCACGGGGCTAAGAATGTGCATGAAAGTTAACAAGAGGTAATGATAATCAAAGGTGTCTAAGAATGGAATGGGCCACAGAGATAATGGGTTCCCTATCATTGGAGGTATTTAAGTAGAAAGCAAAGGGCTGCATGGCAGAGATGTTGACAGAAGACTCAAACATCAGGTGAAGGCTGGACTAGCTAATTTCTGAGTTTCCTTCCAGCCCTGAAAATCTCAGATACTATTTTGCCTTGTATTAGAATAGATTCAAGACATTGCCTTTGGGGGGAAAATAGTAATCAAAATGTAAATACCATGGGAATAATAGATTTGGCCTAATTATCAGCGATTACTCAGAGTTTGTCATTATTTCCGTACAATATATCCCAAAGTTCCGGAAAACAAATCAAAGAAAGTACCACGGTTGATGCCATTAATAGAAGCAAAACACTTCAAGACGAGAATTTAATTTACTGGGTGAGTTCTTGAGGCACGTTTTTGTTGATGAATATTTATAAAAGTGGGTTAGGCTGGACCTGGTAATGATTGTGAAATATCTTAATGCTGTCCCCCTCATTAATTTACTTTTAATGAATGACTTGGTAAAGCGTAACCATTTGTACGTAATGATTTCATTAATGGCTCTGGCATATGCAACCGTTTTTCACACGTTTGAATGTCACTTGAATAAAATGATACCTTAAATTATACAGTATAATAAAGTATGTTTGTTGAAACGTGACAAGTTTCTGCCTCTTTGTACTCAGGCTCCAAGAATAGGTTGCATTTGGAATAGCAACAGTTTAATGGGACTCAAGTGATGGATTACTTTTTCCATTTCTGAGTTTTCTCTCAAAACTGGTTCCTGTGAACCCTGTGCATGAAAACTTAGAGCCAGAGAACCGCAGTGAGCCCCTCCTAGGCCCCCACCTCACTCTCCTCTTCTCAGTCTTTGGGATTCACTTAAACCCACTCCTAGGAGTATCAGGTCAGCCAGATTATCCTATATAAGAAGAGTGCCTGTGGGCAGAACCAGGCCAGGGGAGGGGCCATTATGGGGATGGGACTCAGACAGAGGAGGAGTTTGGGAGGGGTGTGGCCTGGCCAGGAGGCTGGGCCTGGGGGCCATTGCCTGGTGAAAGCAGCACACCAAAAGATGCTTCCCTTGGCTCACTCTTTCTGTTCATCTCACTGTCTGGCTCTCACCTGTGTCCTCTAAGGACTTTCCAGCCTTGGTCATATGGGGTGCCATCCCAACATAAGTCAGCTTTGTAGAACCAGCTTGGGAAAACAGAGAGGCCTCCACCTATGTAAAATGGGTCCCCTGTCTGTTTCTCGCAAAGTGTTTATCCAGTATGCACCTGCTGGATCTATTTGTTTGTTACTTATTTAGTGCAGGGACCACACTGCTCATGTTTGCTATTGATTCCCCACCCCTGGAACACTAGCAAGTGATCCAAAAACATTTGTTGTCAGAGAGAGAGACAGACAATGAGGAGGGAAGGGAGGAAGGGAGGAATGGGAAGAGAAGAAGGGAGGAGTGGAGAGGGAGGAAGGAGGAAGATGGACTGAATTAGATTTGAAGCATAAAGCAAGGAAAGCCACTGGCCAGGAAAAGAAAAGCTTAGGACCAATGCCCTTGGCTCCATAGAGCAGCCATGTCCCTTCCTGCCACCCACCACCCCACTCCCACCAGGCTGTGCCCCCTGCCCGCTTCACCTCTCCCCACCCCTGGTTCTTATTCCCTCATATCACCATGAAAGTGATGGGAAATGAATCAGGTGTTTCAACAACGATGAAGACCGTATTCCTCTGCAGGTGTATGATGGTATGTGGTTTTCAAAGTGCTTTCCTATCTTTGATCTCTTCAAATTCCTGCCCCGTCTGTCTACCTCATAGGGTTGTTTCATTATTCCCACATTTTTCCAGAGGAAACGAACTCTGTGGAATTAAATGCTGCCTCAAGGTCATGGAGCCAGGAAATGGCTGAGCTAAGACTTCAACTCAGGTCCTGGATTATGCGGCTGAACAGCTTTTAATATTTCTCAGCCACTTAATAGGTTACCTCTCCCAGGAGTGTTTGCATTTTAAAAGACAACTGAGAGAGAGAAATGTATAATCCAAATGAATGAATGAATGGTGTCTAGTGCAAAAGCAGGTGCACAGGTGATACTTTTGCACAAGGGCCAGAGGGACATGGCGGTCCTAGAAGACTCTTAACACGTAGGCTTTCAGGGCCAACAGATCTGGGTCCAGATCGCTTCCATTCCACTTACTGACCCAGTGATCTGGAGCCAGCTGTTTCTATTTCCTGAGTCTATTTCCTAATCTGTGAAATGGGGATGATAATTCCACCTCAAAAGGTTGATGCAAGGCTGACAGGTGTGGAAATTGGCACACAATGGGTGACAGCAAACAGCATCGTTACATAGAGCACCAAGAGAACAGGGCCGATCCACAGCTGGCCTCAGCATGAATGAGGGTGCTGAGCAGGATCCGGGTCCTCACCCAGCCCAGCTCTGCAGGGGAAGGAGAAAGGAAGACAGGAGATGGCAAGCCCAAGACTGCTTCTCCAGGCCCATCTCAGTGCCCAACTCTGGGCTGGAACCACCTATCTTTGTGCTAATTCCTCAGTTATTAGGATCAAGCCCAGATAGGAAGGGCCAGGGTACCTGCAACTACACTGCAGCCCTCATCTCCAAGTCTTCCCCCACCTCCTCAGAAAGATTTATGGAAAGATTAAGGGGCCTTTTTTTCAATATCTATTAATATTCATGGCAGTCTTCACAGCCATCTGCTTTTAACGATTTTGTTTGCAAAGACCTGAGATTAAAATATGGCCTGCTAGTGCTCTGAAGCATCTGAACTGAAGGCGATAAAACAAAGGCCTTTTCAGGAGCTCCTGAGCCTGCCTGTCACTCTACCTGCAGCGGGGGAGACTAATGACTAGTGGAAGGGAGGCTGAGATTGGTTCCGGGGCCAGTGCTCCCCTCAGGCAGGCAGGGTTAATTGGGGGGGAATGAACAGCCCCAGCTCCCTCCTCACCACCATGCAGAGGGGCTCTGGGGACAAGGGGGCTTAGCTAGGGCAGAAGGGTGATGCTGCCAGCATCACAGGGGACACTCAGAGCTTTGAGGGCCCTGAAACCCTGGGATCAGCATTCTGGAAAGAAGGTGGTCAGCACTAGATGTGCCCAGGGGTCCAGAGAGGGCAGAGGGAGCCCCTTACTGTGATGCTAAAACCCAAATCCCACCAGTGCGGGTTTTCAATGAGATCTAAGAAGAAAGGGAAATACATAATCCAAATGAATGACTTGTGCTCAGTTCAAAAGCATGTGGGCCAGGCACGGTGGCTCACACCTGTAATCCCAGCACTTTGAGAGGCTGAGGTGGGAGGATCACTTGAGGTCAGGAGTTCAAGACCACCCTGGCCAATATGTCGAAACCCCATCTCTACTAAAAACACAAAAATTAGCTGGGCATGGTCGTGCACACCTGTAATCCCAGCTACTCATGAGGCTGAGGCAGAAGAATTTCTTAAACCCGGGAGGCAGAGGCTGCAGTGAGACGAGATCGCACCACTGCACTCCAGCCTGGGTGATAGAGCGAGACTGCATCTCAAAACACACACACACACACACACACCAGCATGTGCACAGGTGACACTTTGACACAGGGGCCAGAGGGACAAGGTAGCCCCAGAAGATTCTTAACACAGAGGCTTCCAGGGCCAAAGAGGGCATCAGTGCAATGCAAGCTAAAGCCTAGTGTCTTTGTCCAAACTTCCAAATGCAGTCACCTCAATATAGCCCTGTCTTGCATGGAATCCCCCCTTAGTCATCGATATCTAGGGGTGCTCTTGGCCAAGCTGGTGACCCTCACTTGGCCTCATCCAGATGATGAGTTTTCAGTGAACTTCTAGGATGTGGCTTGGGGACAAGGGCAGGACAACCAGTGGAGTGGGCTGGGGCCAGCCTGTGTGGCTGGGCTGATTGTGCCTTACACAACTGCAGGGGGCACCCCTCCTGGCCTCCGCAGCTGTCCTGAGTGGGCCTGCAGGCCTCCCACCTGCAGCAGCTCCAGGTCTTTCTGCTTTATGTGGGGAGGAGGCTCATTTGACTGAAGGCTCCTGCTGCTTTGGAATGTTTGCAAAACAGCGGAATTCCATTCACTCCTCCCAGTGCACAGACTCCTCTCCTCTCTGGCTCCATTCAAGGTTGCACACTTTCAGAAGATCCCAGCAGGGCAAATGCCTGCTTCCTGGAGCAGGCAGGTGGTCAAAGATGATGGGATTCCACTTGCCTGCCCTGCTGTCCTTCTTGTGCCAACAGGGTCACCTCTTAGTCCAAGCCTCAAACTTCCTGCCCCAGTCTCCTGCCTTCCAGGGTAGAGAGTCACTAGTCTTCTCTACCTGCCTGCTTCCATGGGTCAAGACCTGACCACAAATACCAGGAAAACCCCCTTGCTGATTGCCATGGGAAAGGGAGAATTTGAGGACAGGATCTCCCCGGAAAGCCACTTTACGCTAAGGGAAGAGACTCTGTTTGTGACCTCACAAGGTTGGGATATTCTTGCTTTATTCTGGCTCCCTCCCTACGTATTGTGTCCACTTATGACTCTAGAGTCAGACAGCCTTTTTAAAATGTGGCGGACCCCACCTGCCACGGGTCCCCATGGCCTACAAACATCCATGCAATCTTCTGCCAAGCTTCCAAAGCCGAAGGGAGGGAGAGTGGCAGCCAGCCAAGCCCCCACAATCCTGCAAAGGGGTTTGTCATGCTCTGCCCATAGTAGTACTCCACCTCTTTTGTCAAATCCGATTAGACCCACGTGGAACCCATCAGATCCTCTCCCCAGAGAAACCTGGTTCCTCAGTCTAGGTTGTGGCAAGCTGAGAAGGGGTGGCCATTTTCCTCACAAGCCAGCCAGCCTCAAGTAGAAAAAAAGAGTAAAAAGGGCATGATAAGAAAAGCAGAGGTTGACGGGTCCCCCAGGCTGGCCAATCGTGTGACCAGCAGCTCCTGAAGGCCAACAGCTCCTCCCGCCCTGGTGCCCATAGGATACTTTGTGGAGGCTTCCTTTACCTCCCTGCCTCTGCTGGAGCCACTTTGTGTTACTGTCTAAAATAAGACCAAGGCCTCCAAATACCCACACCTTCCTGGCCTTGACCCTCCAGGTCTCACTCTCTGAGCTCCAGGCAGTCAAAACAGGTCCCAAACACATCCTGAGCTTCTTCCTGGGCCCAGGCTATGCCCCATGCCTGGGATGTTCACCTTCCCTTTCCCCCAGAGGCCTGGCTCAGTCTATACACGCTGCCCCTTCCAATCAAATGGGGTGCCACCTCTCCCTCACTCAGTGCCCAGGGTACCTTGGCATCAGCTTCCAGACAGTGTCTGTCCTCCAGGGACTTCCAAAGTAACAAGAGGGCTGAGGCCAGGAGGAAGTAGGACACAGATATCCTCTCCTACTCAGGTTTGAATCCCCTGCAGTGCCTGGCTCTGTGCCTGGCACTCAGTAGACTGTTATCCCAAAACTGCTTTTTGCTTTGAAATGAGCTCACTGCTCTGTGGGAGGCATTTCTAGCACACACTGATGTGATTGTTTAGCCCTCATGAAGACCCTAGAACAATGTCATTAGATGGGCTCTTGGAGAACGAGTTCAATTCTCCCATTTTACAGCTAGGGAGACTGAGACCCGAACCAGATGCCAGGTCTCCTGCCCCACAGGACCAAAGCTGTCGCCAGCCCATGCTCCTCTACCTCGGAGGCACTCCCTTCATATCACAGAGGAGCACATAAGGCCTCCAGGGGTTAATTTTGGCAATTTCCTCCATTAATCACATCTCTGCCAATCCACTACCAGGTAATTGAGGAGTCAAGAGCCACTGCAGAGAAATGGAGTTTCAATTTAAAAGTCCACCTACAAGTGCCATTTGGGAAACAAGAGGAAAGGAAAGTATGTGTGTACCGGTGTGGAACTGTGAGCCTGTGGGTGTTTATGAACACGTGTGAGTGTGTATGTGTGTGTCAGCGAGTGAGTGTGGGGGTGCCCCATGACCTCTCAGAACAGCCTGGTCTCCTGTTTCCAGGCCCACTCCAGGCCATGCCCACCTGCCCCCGATTCTCCATGGCTCCCCCCATCTGATGGGGGTCCTCAACAGACCACAGCCCTTCAGCAGCCCCCAGCTCCTCGAGGGAAACTCCACCCTCTCAATGAAACCCAAGGTCTGTCACCACTAAGGTACATCCCGCCTACCTTTCCAGAGCCTTTACCCATCCAGTTCTCCTCCTGATACCTCACACTGTTCTCCAGTCACACCAGATGTTCACCACGGATGGGACATGAATGCACCACCATACCTGTAAGTCTTTGCATGAGCTGTTTTTTCTGCCTGGGATATGTGCTCCTTTTCCTCTAACCTTCAAGGCTGCAAACTCAAATATCGCCTCTTCCATGAAGCCTTCTGGTAACGCCAGGCCACTCCTCCTCAGGCAGAGTCAGCCACTCTGCACACCTCTAAATGACAGCTAACATTTGGGGACCACTTTAACTGTGTTACTTCATTTACCTCATCTTGTACCTCCTCCTGTCCAGGACACCCGATTATTGACCCCATTTTACAGGTGAAGACATTCCAGCACAGAGAAGTTGAATGACTTGCCCGAGGTCACACAGCTACAGCAAGATATCCCCAGGATTCAAATCCAGGCAGCCCGGCCCACAGCCTGTGCTTTTGCTCCCTCCATCACATGGTTCTTAGGTGCCCACATGGCACATGACACCTGTGCAGTGTGACACAAGAGAAAACAGAAAACGAGCTACTGTCTGCCTGTGTGTCTTCCTCGCTGTCCCGCTACCCTGAAAGGACCCTCTTTCAAGCCTGTGTCCCTAGCAGCAACTGGGGTCATAGGAAGGGTTCTGAACCATCCAATGAAGGAAGGAGTACTCTACTCGTATGAGTGTGTGTGTGTGTGCGTGTGTGTAGCACAGGACTTTGTGAGAGGGTTATGAAGATGAGTGCCCATAACCACATGTATGGTGTTTGAAGGGGTCTGGGAGCAGATCCGAGTGCGTGTGTGCATGTGTGAGTGTGTGAGTGTGTGTGTGCATGCACCCTCGGGCACGCTTAAGCTTCCCAGCGGGAGGGTAGAGGCCCCATCTCAGCCGCATGAATACTTAAAGCCCTTAAACCGCACCACTTCATCACTGATATTTTTACAAAGTTGTCACAGAGAAATATCATTTTTCTCCCTCCTTTATTTCATTTTCTTTGGGATATAGTAATTAACAAAAGCCGTTAGATGCCAGCAAAACTGTTTCTTTTGAAGTTTCTACATGGCTGTCACCCGGGAGATAAAGGCAGATTATTCAATCTTGACATTATAATTGTGGATGCCAGATGAAAGCCTGGATTAGACACTTCACAGCCCACTTGGAGGGGAGGCTGAGATCACCAGGCGGCGATCCCCCCTCAGCTGGGAGGGCAGGGGAGCTGGGCGGGGGCAGGGGGTACCCCACATTGGGGAGGGGGTGGCTCGCTGCATGGCTTGGCTTCTTTCATTTGAGTTGGATGGTCCCCAAATCACACAGTGTTAGATGGAAGGAACATATTCCATATGGAGGTGGAACAATCTAGAAGTCAGGAGTAGAACTCTTGAGTCTGGTCTATCAGCTCCCGTGCCCCAAGGCTGCCCCCCCCCCACCAGCCCACACCCCCTCCTTGATTGGCAGGGACTTCTTGGCTCCCTGACTGAAGGCCAAGTTCCTCAAATGCGGAGGGTCCGGATCCTCCAAGGCCGTGGACCCCGGGTTCCAGTGCTGATGACTCCCTCACTGTGGCTGGGCTGTGGAGAAGGCTGGAGAGGTCAGGGGAGGGAGAGAGTCATTTGCCTGCATGGAGCCCACCCAATCCCCCTTCATAAAAGAAGTCACCAGGCCAGGCACAATGGCTCACACCTGTAATCCCGCTTGCCCTTTAGGAGGTCGAGGCAGGCAGATGACTTGAACACGGGAGTTTGAGACCAGCCAGGGCAATATAGTGAGATCTTATCTCTATAAAAATACAAAAAAAAAATTAGCCAGGCATTGTGGTGTGCCTGTGGTCCCAGCTACTTGGAAGGCTGAGGTGGGAAGATCACTTGAGCCCAGGAGGTCGAGGCTGCAAGGAGCTGTGATCACGTCACTACACTCCAGCCTGGGGTGAGAAAGCAAGGCCTAGTCTCAAAAAAAGAACCACCAACCAGGGAGAGGGTGAGCAGGGCAGGGCCAGAAGAAGTCCCAGCAATGGAGAATGAGAGGTCACTTTTTAGTGGAGGCAGAAGGGCCAGATGCAGATGCCCTGGAGAGTATATAAGACTGGAAGCTTCTACAGTGACTGATACCGTCTGATTTCCCAGGTCTACCCTGAACCAAATTATAACCTGGAATCTTCATACCCTATCCAGCCACCCACGGACAAGATTTTTGCTCTTCATTGTGTTCATTAATAATAATGTCTGTTAATAAAATTATGAAATGTATCAGTCAGGATCCAACCAGGAACCCATAAACCATGGGAGGTATTTAAAACAGAGGGAATTTAACATGAGGACTGGAGACACAGGTGAGGAGAAACCAGCAAGGCAACCCAGAGACCAGCACCAGCTCTAGACCCTAGGGAGGTAAGGAGGGAGGAAGGAGGTGCTGGTGACGAAGCCCAGGAGCCAGGATGACCCAGCCACCCTGGAACCTCAGTAGGTCACAGAGAGACATGGCCAGCCCCTGAGAGCAGAACAGGGGATGTGGAAGAAGGGGCTCTGAGGACAAATTGAGCAAGGTCTGGCCCGCTCATCAACATTTTGAAACCCCAAGCTGGATTTCCAGTTTCTCTGCAAAGAGCAACGCCAGGCCTGCTTTTTCTTATGGCCACAAGCATCTGAAAGGGATAGAGGTGGTCTCCTTCAGATAGGGCATGCTCCTCTATGGTTTTTCCCAGGTCCCGCCGGGACTGCCTTATTCATTGATGGTACCTATGAGTATTTGAATTTGCAACCCCTGGTTTCAATCAATATACCCATTTTGTAGAGAGAGAAGCTGAGGCCCAACCAAGGGGAAGTGATTTACCCAAGGTTACAGGATGGGTCAGGAGTAGAGGCAAGACCAGAACTTAGAGCCCTTGGATTATCTTAAGTGCAGAATTAATTAGCAAAGATGGAAAGCATCTGTGGAGTGACTGCATCTGTCAGCGGAGAATGACTCACCTCCCTTGCTGTGGCCGGGCTGTGGAGCAGGCCAGAGAGTGGTACTTGCTAGACCAGCAGTGCCGTTGCTCCTGTGTGCCCTGGCCATCAGCCTTGCCATGAAGGCCAGCAGGAGAAACGCCAGCAGTGATCACGAGGAACGACTCAGGCAGGACAGCCTGTTCTGAGGCTGCTGCAACCACTTAGGTGCTATGTGACCACAGCAGAATCCCTCTCTGTGCTCCATAACGCAAGGTGGTTGGGCCCGACGCCCTCCTGGAGCCTTCTCCACTCCACCGGGCTGGAATTCTATTTCCTGGGGAGAGGTGGGAGGAAACCATACCCCCATAGAAGCCAGCTGAGTGCATGAGGGTCCTTAGAAAGGAAGGTCGAGGGGGAGACACTGGGAAACATAAATCTGCTGGCACGGCTCTCTCAGAAAGGGTTTTAATTAATTGTTTTTATACGACATAAGAGCAACTCATTACCGAACAGCTTTGATTTGTGACACCTGCATTATAGATGATTTTTAAATTAACATTTCCCCAATAAAAGGTGTCAGTAGAGAGCTGAAGGCGCCCAGAGAAGTATAAAAGGATAATAGTATGAAAATACAAATAAACACCAGCCCAGCCTAACAAAGGGGGCTGCTTAATCAATTTTACAATTAATTAAGGCTGCCTGGGATGGCTGGGGCCCTGGAGGCAGTTCAAGGTACTGGGTTGAGGGACTCAGGCATCAAATGCTAGGACAAGGGAAAGTGTTTGGGGCTTACGAGAGACCTGCAGTGAGAATGTAAGACGCTCTGCTAGGCTTCCCTGGAAAGGGAGAGAAACAGGAGGCAAATCTGTCCCAATGAGTATCCTTTCTCCCTTTGTTGTCCTGGATTTGTCATGTGTGCATTCAGTATTTAGAGAGCTCCTACAAGCTATGGCAGGCAGAGCAGAGGCACCCAGGTGAGAGGGAGGAGCAGCACACTGGAGACGCTGAGAGCTCCATGTGTCTGACGCAGAGTGAAGGGCAAAGGAGGAGAGAAAACTGGCAGGGTAGGCAAGGGCTAGACTATCATGGCCTCTGAAAAGGGTCATACGGCATTTGGAGTTGTTTTCAGATGTCGTTTGCAGAGTGTAGGTAAGGGAACCACATGAGAAGATTTCCATTTTAGACAGAGGCTCCTGGCTGCCATGTGAATCATACAATAGAAGAGCAGAGGGAGGAAAGACAAGTGACCCAAGCAAGACCTGCTCATGGATGCAGTTCAGACAGCAGTGGCTGAGGGACAGGAACAGACCCAGGAGAGGCACAAGAGCTAGAGCCCACACACATGTGTTGCTGCTGCATGCCTGTTGGAGGAGAAGGGAAGGGGAATTGAGAATAACTCAAGCCAAGGACAGTGCTGGAGAAGCAGCTGTGAACAATACACAGATAAGGTCCCTGCCTTCAGGGGTTTTACATGGTCAGGAGAAACAGAAAAAAGACCCACAAAGGAATGAGCAAAGGACTTGGTAGCTCAGGACTGTAATCCCAGCATTTTGGGAGGCCAAGGCAGGAGGACTGTTTGAGCCCAAGAGCTCAAGACCAGCCTGGGCAACAGAGTGAGACCCTGTCTCAAAAAAAAAAAAAAAAATTAGCTGGGTGTGGTAGTGCACACGTATAGTCCCAGCTACTCAGGAGGCTGAGCTGAGAGGATCACTTGAGCCCAGGAGTTCAAGGCTCCAGTGAGCTGTGATTGTGCCATGGCACTCTAGCCTGGGCGACACAGCAAGATCCTGTCTCTAAAATAAGAAGAGAGAGAGAGAGAGAGAGAGAGGAAGAAAGGAAAGAAAGAGGGAAGGAAGGAGGGAAGGAAGGAAGGAAGGAAGGAAGGAAGGAAGGAAGGAAGGAAGGGAGGAAGTGAGGGAGGGAGGGAGGAAGGAAGGAAGGTAGGACAAGAAGACAAGAAAGTCAAATCAGTTGCTGTGGCTGGGACAGCTGAGAGCAGCACAGTTTGGGACAGGGTAATCAGATGGCTATCAGGGAAGGTGACATTTGACCTGAAGGCTGAGGAGCCAGCCAGACCAACATCTGGGGAAGGGGTGGTCCAGGAATTCATGCAACAAGTGCAAAGGCCCTGTGGCTGGGATGAGTAGGAGAAGGCAAAAAAATGACCCTTAACCTCCCCCATTTCTACTACACTCTCTTAGTTTTATCTTTCTTTTCCTCTGGTTGACCAAGAAGGGTTATATAATTGGTGCATAATTGGCATATAATTTGAGGACTGTACATAGAGGCTGTGGAGCATTGAGAAAAGTTTCCAGTGATCCATGCCAGGCCCTGTCCACTCCTCTCTGGAAGACTTGAGCCCTCCAGAGGAGCCCGTCTCCACCTCTATACCTCCGACTTCCCATCTTGATCACTATCTGCCCCAGACCTCTCTCCTGAACTCCAGACCCACCTGGGGGTCTCACAGGCAATCATCTTCCTCCCAAAGTCCATTTATCCCTCTGTGTTTCCAATCTTAATTAAAGACGCCACCGTCCAACCAGACACTCAAAAGGGAGACCTAAGAACAGTCTTGATGCTCCCTCTCCCTATATCCAAATCCTGTGGGCTCTTCCTCCTTAGAGCTCTTGAACCGATCTCAACCCATTGCATGCCATCCTAATGGCTCTAGCTTTCCACATGTCTTACCTGGGTGACCTCAGCAGTTTCCACTCTCCTCCTATCCATGTACCCTGGACACAGCAGCTGGAGGAGTCCTTCTAAGTGAAAACTTGTCCTGCTGTACAACTGCCAGAAAAGCTTTGGGGACTTCCCTTGCTCTCCAGCTAAAGTTCAAACACTATTGTCATGCTTTTTGGGGCCCCTAGAGTCTAGCCCCTCCCTACCCCCTTGGAGAACCACCTTGCCCACCCCCATGCTTTGGTATCCAGACACAAGCATCTCCCTTCAGCTCTCCCACCTGTTTTCTTTTCTCTCTGCCTGGAACATTTTGGGTGCTCTGCCCTATACCCTGGCCCTCACCATTGTCTGGCCACCTTCAACTCCACAGCCCAGGCTGCAGGCTCGTCAAATCAAATGCTTTTGTAATTGTTTCATTGTGTAGCTCCTCCCAGGCTGTAAGCGCCACCAGACCTGGAACTATTTGTCTTATTTGCCCCATATTCCCAACACCTATGGACAGACCACAAACACTGAATGGAAAAGGAATTAATGAATGGATGAATTAAATGCTGTCACATACCACAACATGCCTCACACATACTAAGAGTTTAGATGGTTAATGAGGTGAACAAGGACCAGCATCCTTAATTTTGCATTATACATTTCATTGGCTGGCTCTCTCACATGTTCCCTAAGAACATCACTCTCCCAGGGTGGTCATTGATCCATCATTTGTACAGTGACAGGAAGAGGGGACAGAGCTCCACTTGAGATAGCATTTCCTGCTTGCACGAAGCCAGTGGGCAATGTGAGGCCAATAGAACGTCTGCACGGTCTGTGGACCAGCTGGTTGCTGTGCTCTCCACGTCACCCCAGGGTCCAAGAGGACATGGCTATCAACAGGGGCTCCTGGCTGGGAGATCTGGGTGCTTTGTCTCCTTTGCATGACAGGCATGTGAGATTGGTGGCCTCTCCCAGGCTAGCCCCAAAACAGGGCACCTCCAGCCCACACTTATGGGATGAGAGGAGCAACTGAACAGCAGGGCTCCTTGTGTCCAACACCAAGGTCAAACAAGTGAGTGTGTCTGAATGGGCTGTTTAAGCAAGGGTGCCTTAAGGCAAATGTTGGGACCTGAGGCTCAGGGAGGGTTAAAGCCAGTAAGTGGGGCCAGTGTCGCCGACAGAGCTATGATGTGTGTGTGCATGTCAGACCCATTCACAGAGCTCCAGGTGGGCTTAGGGTGAGGGTTAGGGTTAGGATCAGTTATCAGAGTGGCTACAGGGAGTTTACCTCTAGCAAATTCCCCAGGCAGACCAGAAAGTAGACAACAAAGGCTGGGGTAGAGGTCAAGTTTAAATACACGGGTCCCTAATAAACAGGAGAGATGGCCTGTGCCTGAAGAAATCTAGGAGGACATCCCAGAGGAGGTCAGCTTGCACTGTGCCCAGAAAGCCTGGGAAGGTTGAAGAGCAGGAAGTTCCTAATCAAGCCACTGCTTTCATCTTCTTCAAAACCTCCCTGTAGAAAGAAGCACCTGTGAAGGGCAGCATTCTCCTCCAAAGTCAGAGACTCAACCATCAGTGGTGCAGCGACTGAAAGTCACAGTGGAAACAGATCATGGAGTCCAACCATCCACTTGACACACGAGAAGACTGAGACCCACAGAGACAAACTAAAGTCATCCTTTGCTGTTGAGCAATGCTCCGAAATGGGCTTCTCCCCACGAACCTGCACAATAGGTTTTACTCTCCTCCATTTGACAAATGAGGGGACTGAGTCCCAGAGGGGTCACAGGGCTTGTGGAGGTCACACAGGACCTGTCAGAACCAGGACTGTCAGAACCCAGGCTGGCCTGACTCCATGTCTAACACCCTTAAGTGAATTTTTCAGTCTTTGGTTCTGATTATTCTGAGACAGAAAGAATAATTGGCAGTTGATGCTAAAAATATGTGTAGCTGTTTTGATTGACAGTATAAACTCAGTGATGTACAAACAGGGAATGATTCTATTTTTCTCAATAACTGATATCAGCTTTGCTTGGCAAGCTCCCACCCCCACATTGGGAGTTGATGAGGAGGAGGGAGGGATGGAGGAAAACACTCTTCAAATAATGGTATCTTCATTCCTTCTGACAGATTTTTTGGTCACATTTTATATTTGTAGCTGTCACTTTCTAATTATTAAAAATTGTCATTGTCTGGTTGAAAGCCACCTCCTGCATGGTGTCCTTGAGCCCTAGTAGCAGGGATGGGGGTGCTGCCACCTGTCTCCCGGCCCAGCCGCTGGTTGCTTCTGGATGGCAAGCCTCTAGCCCTGGGAGGCCAGCTTGTAGCTCCTTATCTGGCATTGCAGAAGACCTTCCAGGGCTGAGCTGACACTTTCTCTACAACCTGTTGACATCAGGAGCCCCCCACCATGGCTTCTCCCTCCCCTTGCTCCTGAAAAGTTTGGGAAGAGGGGCATTGCTGTTCCCCCCTCACCAAGTGAATTCTGCTCTTCTGTTTGTACAGAGAAGGGGGCAGGGGGCACCCTGCTTTTGCTAAGACACCTCTCTCTAAGCAAGCCCTGCAGTAGACGTAGTGGTAGAGATCGCTCACTCTCTGCCAAAATCCAATCTCCCCTAACAAAGTGTGGCCAAGCCCAAAATCGCTGTCCAGACCAGGAGTCAGAAGTCCACAAACTATGACCCACCAGCCAGTTCCAAACCACTAGTTAGTTTTGAACGGCCATGAGCTAGGAAAGGCTTTTACACTTTTTAATGGTTGGAAAAAAAGAATAATATTGATGACACATGAAAGTGATATTAAATTCAAATTTAGGAGTCCATGAATAAAGTCTTATTGGAACACAGCCATGCCCATTCATTTGCATATTTTCTATGGTCTTTGTCAAGCTACAAGGGCAGAGTTGAGTACTTGCAATGGAGAGTATATGGCCCCACAAAGCTGAAACTATTTCCTATCCAGCCCTTTACAGACAGCAGTTGCCAACTCTGAAAAAGACTACACTTCCCAGGCTCCCTTGCAGCTAGGTGAGACCATGTGCTAAGTTCTCACTAGTGGAAGGGGAGTGGAGATGACTTGGGACATCAGGTGCCCCTCCATGCTCTCTTCCAGCTGTGGCAGGACCAGGCATGGCACCTCCCTGCTCCAACACTGAGATTACACCAAGGGTCTCAAGGATGGTGGGGCAGTGGTTTGGAGGACCCCAATCCCTGGATGGCTGTGAGGCTCAGCACTGCCCTGCCAACCCTGGCCATTCACTTTAGAACTGTGCAGTGAAAAAGAAAGAAACTTCAGTCCTCCATAAGCCACTTACCTCATCCTTACCCTGACTAGTACAGATGTTTATGTTCAGCTGGGCACTGTGTCCAGAGTACTTTACCCATCTATGCCAGTTATATTTAAGAATATTGTGGGCCGGGTGCAGTGGCTCACGTCCGTAATCCCAGCACTTTGGGAAGCTGAGGCAGACAGATTGCTTGAGGTCAGGAGTTAGAGACCAGCCTGGCCAACATGGCAAAACCCCATCTCTACTAAAAATACAAAATTCAGCCAGGCATGGTGGCACGCGCCCATAGTCCAAGCTACTCAGAAGGCTGAGGCACAAGAATCGCTTGAACCCGGGAGGCAGAGGTTGCAGTGAGCTGAGATCATGCCACTGCACTCCAGCCTGGGTGACATAGCGAGACTATGTCTCAAAAAAAAAAAATTAAAACAAATTTTTAAAAAGGATATTGTTCTTGTGCAGAAGCCTTGCTTGATAGATGGAGTTGAGCCCCACCTCACATTGGTGCTACTCTATAGAGCTGATAAGATAACTGTTCATATTAGAGTTATTCTGTTTCCAAGGAAGAGAGAGGCTGCGAGTTCAACCAGAGAGACTCAAAGAGAGAAATTACCGACAGTCCCCAACTTATGAGGGTTCCACCTGGGATTTTTTGACTTTACAATGGTGCAAAAGCAATACACATTCAGTCCTCTCCTGAACTTTCAATGGGGCTACATCTCAATAAACCCATCAAAAGTTGAAAATATCTTAAATAAAAAGTGCATTTTTTTTTTGAGATGGAGTCTCACTTTGTCACCCAGGCTGGAGTACAGAGGCATTTCTCAGCTCACTGCAACTTCCACCTCCTGGGTTCAAGCAATCCTCCCACCTCAGCCTCTTGAGTAGGTGGGACTATAGGCATACACCATCACACCCAGCTAATTTTTGTATATTTGTAGAGACAGGGCTTCGCCACGTTAAACTCCTGGGCTCAAGTGATCTGCCCGACTCGGCCTCCCAACGTGCTGGGATTACAGGCATGAGCTACCATGCACAGCCCAAAAGTGCATTTTTGACTGACAGTATTTTCAGCTTACCATGGGTTTATCAGTATATGGCCCCATCGTAAATCAATGGGCATCTGTAGTTTGATATAAAGCACATCCTCACCAGAATACCTAAACAGGAGGCCAGGAGCAGCCTGACTCCATGGGAGCCAGCACCCTGAGACTGTAGGGGAAAGCTGCCCTTCCAGGACTGAGGTCTCTCTCATGGCATTCATTCACCTTTCTGTCTCCTTTCTCAGCCAGCTGGCTTCCTCCAATCACTCATAGCTGGTGATCATGATGAGTCTCCAGCCCTAGGTCAAGCTCATCAACTCTACCCACCTCCAGGCTCAGCTTCTTTCATACCTTTCCCCAGATCGAACTCAGATTGGCCCAGCCCGCACTTTTGAGCCATATCACTCAAATTATATAGTGTGGACAGTCTTTGCTTCAAGTGACCACCCCGGATAAATCAGCAGATGTCCAGGGGACACAGACCTGTGGCACCAACACAGCTGCCACCCACACAGCACACACTGGGGAACAGGGGTTTCCCTTAGCCAGGAAATCGACCTCTCTAAGAGGTCAGAGAGTTCCGTGGCTAAGGGTTTGGACTGTGAGCTGGAATGCCGGGTTCACCTCTACCTCTGACATGCTGTGTAGCCACGGGCAACTTACTGTATTCACTTGTGCTTTGTTGAAATAGGACTCATAACAAAAACACCTGTATCACAGGATTGTCAGGAGGATGAAATGAATGAATACATGTGAAGCCCTTTTAGAATAGCACTTCCTGACATGTAGTAAGCTTTCAGGGAAGGTTAGTGATGCGAATTACTGTCATTATCTGTAAAACAAGAAGGAAATAATAAGTCAAGTCTCTATAAGTCTCTATTCCTTTGCTGTAAAATCTCTCAACGTGCACTCAGTGAATGGTCCAGGTCAGCCTGAGGAAAGCACGATGGTTTGCCCACAGACCACCTCCCTAAGGAGCACAGGGGCACAGGCACTACCATCTGCTGAGGAACCACTCTTTCCATGCCATCCCCATGCTTGGTCCCCTTTACTACTGTGCATTCAGCCTCACCATGAGCTGGTGAGGATAAAGCTGAGAGAGTCAATGAGTAGCCCAAATTCAAAGACTTAGGATTAATTCGACTCACTGTTTCCATCAGAATGGATGACCCAAGGGGTCCACTGCAGACTGTTTGCTTGTCGAGTCTAGTCCATTTGGAGATGCTAAGGACAGAAAAAGGGGTTCCAGCAGCAAGGTATAGCAGGACTCCAGTGGGAGTGGGAAGGGTGGAGTGATGTGGATGGGATGGGAGGAGGCCCAGAAATGGGAAAGGAAGGGCAACACCCTCTTGGGAAAAGAGGGTAAGATTGGGGCAGGCGGAGGACGTGGCCATGAGCTTGGTCTATCCTCCCACATTTGGGTTCTCCAAATGTATGCGGCAGAGTCCCCATTTAGCAAACAGAGCCCTGGCCAGCAACAAGGCCAGCAGCCCTGGGTGCTCATCCCAGGTCTGCCTCCCTGTCCCTGTGTGACCTTGAGAATGAGGCCCTGCCCCTATCCCAGTCCCAGCCACAGTAGCCACATATAGTAGACCAGATGACCTGAAGGGCCGCTTAACTCTGGGTCCCACTGTGGTGATGTCCTAGTTTCTGTTGTGTTCTTAGGGCAGATCCAGAGCACAGGCTGCCCCATGACTCCCATCCAAACTTGGGCCCATGGCATTTCACTCCCCAATTTATTGTATGCTTAAGAGTCATGGAAAAAAATAAATAAAACTATTATCCTCAAAACCCCAGTAGGTCTCTAAATGACTACTCCACTAATTAGTAGCAGCTGTTAATGAAGTGTGCAGGTACAAGCCTAGCCTCGTCAATTAATCCATACATGCTCCTGGGCTGCAGTAATATTTAAAGGGGAAATCGATACTTGACAGCTGGGCCTGGAGAGGTCTCTGTCTGGGTGGGCAGGGAAGGTGTAGCATTTCAAGGAACTTGTCACTAAAATAGCTTATGCCTGGAGCACAGTGCAGGGGCCAGAAATGAATACAGCCCATAAGGGGCACAGGAATGCAGACATGCCTATGGGGAGCTGAGGGAAGCAGGGGCTAGGTGAGCAGGGTGAATAGGCACCTGCTCCCACCATGGGTGGGCAGACAGCCACATGCCAGGCCAATAGGGGCACACCCTTCAATTCTTTTCCAGTTCATCATTGATATGGTTTGGCTGTGTCCACACCCAAATCTCATCTTGAATTGTAGCTCCCATAATTCCCACATGTTGTAGGTGGGACCTGGTGGGAGATAATTGAATCATGAGGGCGGTTCCCCCATACTGTTCTCGTGGTAGTGGTGATAGTGAATAAGTCTTATGAGATCTGAGGGTTTTATAAGGGGAAACCTCTTTCACTTGGCTCTCTTTTCTCTCTTGTCTGCCACCATGTAAGACATGACTTTTGCCTTCCACCATGATTATGAAGCCTCCCCAGCCACGTGGATCTGCGAGTTCATTAAACCTCTTTTTCTTTATAAGTTACCCAGTCTTGGGTATGTCTTTATCAGCAGCATAAAAATGGACTAATACAATCATATCACAAATTCACTTATTCCTGGGGGGTAAGGGGGTTGGAGGGGGGTTGCTATACCTTCCCTGGGCAGACGCCATGATCAAAGCCGCCAGATGAGGCATTATGCTACCTAAGGTTGCCAAGCAAGTAAAAGTAACAATCACTTTCCTGGCCTACACTGGGCTAAACACCTTACAGGTATCATCTCATTTAATCTTTACACTAGCCCAATGAGATGAGAACTATGATTCCCCACTTTTGGAGCTGAAAATGCTGCAGCTTTGAGAAAGCTGGTTATTGGCAAGGGTGGTATTCAAACCCTCATAATCTAAGCTTATGTGCTTAACATACACAGACTCCTAAGTAGTGATAAGCCTTGAGCCCTACAGAACAAAATCCAAACCCCTTGACATGGCTTACGGCATCTTGAAATCTGGCCCCTGACATTAGATTCCAGTTGCTGCTATAACAAAGTACCACAAACTTAGTGGCTGAACACACACAAACCTATTATCTTACAGTTCTGGAGATCGGAAGTCTGAATGAGTTTCATTGAACTAAAAACGAGGTATTGGCGGGGCTGCGCTCCTTCTGGAGGCTCTAGGGGAGAATCTGTTCTGTTGCCTTTTTCAGCATCTTGAGGCCGCCTGCATTCCTTGGCTCATGGCCCTTCCTCCATCTTCAAGCCAGCAATCACATCCCTCCAACCTGTGCTTCCATTGTCCCATCTCTCTCTGACTCTCTTCTGCCTTCCTCTTGAGAGAGCTGAGAAGCCCATCGGGGGCTTTGGAAGCAACTTAGAAACGAGCAATAAGAAGAAGCAACCTTTCTGAACCTTCCCCACTCCACTCACACAGACACATGCAGTTAAGGGCAACAGCCCCTCCTCTGAGCTGCAATGACCTCATGCCAAAGAAATGGCTGAGGTCCGTGAGCCTCTGTCTGATCCATGGTGCATCTCAGCACTGAGCCCAGAGCCCTGCACAGAACAGTTACTCAAAGAAAGGTCCCCTGGGCCAGGGCTCCCTCCTCCATACCAGAGGTGAGGGCACCACCCCAGCCCAGGGCTCCCAGAAGAGGTCATGGTGGCAGTTAGGCAGATAAATAAAATGCATTGGCTCAACAGCTGACCTCAGCTGCTGAAAGCCAGGGCTGCTGTGCTGATGTGCACTTTGCTGCCAATCACATGCTTGGCCACCCGGTCTTACCTATTTGGAGAAAACAGTGAGGGGCAGACAGATCACCCCCTATCGATGAAGAGACCCTGGGCTAGGGGTGTGGGGTGCTTGCTCTGAAGGGTCTGGCAGGAATCTGTCCACGATGCTGCTTGAAGGAAACACTGAGCTTGCTCTTAGCTCAAGCAGTTGAGGCTGGCTTGTTACCATGCAAGAGACACAGGGCAACACCATAATTAGAATCCTGGGTTAATAACCTTCCCTGATTGGACGTTTCCACAGCTCCTCTTCCCCAGCTGTTTATCTTGAGATCGCTGCTGAAGGGGAAGGGAGGAGACTGGGAAACTGTACCAGGGAGGAAGGGAATGGAAGCAGAAAGGAAAAGGGGAAGAGGAAAGAGCCCAGAAGTAGGCTTTACCAAGCAAACCTGGGTCAGGCCCAGAACAGGACACCTAATACCATACGGTGATCTCACCTCCCACCCACCCAGGGCTGCAAATCGTCCCCACCCCGCCCTGGGACTAGGTCTCCTCCAGGGGCCCCATCCTGGTTAATGTCCCCACTCGTCCCCTCCCTGCCAGCAGACTAGATACCCTGGAGTGACCCTGGACTCTTATCTCCTGAGAGGCCCTCTCCTCACACACCAGTCGATCAGTCACCAGGCCATGGCCATTCCAGCCATCCCCTGTCCATATCCTTAGTGCCGCAGCCTTGATGGGGCTCCTGCTACCCCCTCTTCTGGCTTCTTCCAACAGCCTGCTAGTGAGTGGCCCTGCCTCTGGCCTCACCTCCTAATCTATTCTTTTTTTTTTTTTTTTTTTTTTTGAGACTATTGTTGCTCCTGTTGCCCAGGCTAGAGTGCAATGGCATGATCTCAGCTCACTGCAACCTCCACCTCCTAGGTTCAAGCAATTATCCTGCCTCAGCTTCCCAAGTAGCTGGGATTACAGGTGCCCACCACCATGCCCGGCTAATTTTTGTATTTTTAGTAGAGACGGGGTTTCACCATGTTGGCCAGGCTGGTCTTGAACTCCTGACCTCAGGTGACCCGCCAGCCTCGGCCTCCCAAAGTGCTGGGATTACAGGCGTGAACCACCGCGCCCGGCCTTCAGCTGCTAGTATTGTTTTTCTAAAATAGAAATGATCACACTAGCACTTACCTAAACCCTTCAGGGGCCTGCTGCCATGTCCAGGGAAATTCAAGGCCTTCACAGCCTGGACCTCACCTCCCTCACCAGCTCCTTCTCCTCTCACCTCCTCCCTCCTCCTTCCCACCTCCCTCACATCACTGTCCAGAAACTTCATCAGTTCACTCATGGACACGCACACACACACATGCTCATGTGCACACAGGCCCACATGCACACATGCTCTCACACACACAATGCACAGGCACACATGCACACACACACTGCCTTTTCACCTTTCCACTTGCTGTTTTCTCTGCCTGGAATTCTCTTCTTCCCTCACCTTGTGAAGAAGCTCATAGTCTGAAGAAGCTTTAAAAATTTGCTCTAAATCTCGAGTCTCTGCAATTGCATTCAGGAGTCAGCCTCTGTGACCTCCCCACCCTGACCCTGCACCCTCCTGCTGCCCCATCCTGCTCCTCTACCTGTCTCGACCTGGTTTGTGCCTTACCTCCCTAACTAGCTGTGAACTCCTGGCAGCAAAGACCTCCAAGACCACCTCAGGGCATAGCATGGGGCTGGATACCAAGCAGGGAATCCCATAGCCTCAGGCAGTGAGGGGGAAGGCTATCTACAGAGCGGTCCCACACACTTGGTGGGGGAGGAAATCGGATGTCTATTCATAAGCATTGATATTCTGCTGCATTTTCCATCAGGATCCTCCCTCCTTTTAATATCCCTGGTCCCACATGGACCTGAGTAACAGAGGACAGCAATCAGTTCTGGTGTTTACTGAAGTTCAGGAAATGTTACTGACACATGATATGGTTTGGATGCTCATCCCCTCCAAATCCCATGTTGAAATGTGATTCCTCAGTGTTGGAGATGGGCCTAGTGGGAATTGTTTGGACCATAGGGTTGGATCCCTCATGAACGGTTTGGTGCCGTTCTTGAGGTAATGAGTGTTCTCAATCTGTTAGTTCAAGAAAGAGATGGTGTGTTTAAAGGAGCCTGGCACCTCCTCCTCTCCCTTGCTCCCTCTTGCCTTGTGATACACTGGGTCCCTTCCACTTTCCACCATGATTGGAAGCTTCCTAAGGCCTCACCAGGAGCAGATGCCGGTGCTATGTGGTATAGACTGATAGATTGAAGAACCGTGAGCAAAAATAAATCTCTTTTCTTTATAAATTACCCAGCCTCAGATAGCAATGCAAACAGTCTAACACATCTTAACACCTACCAACACCATGGGAAAAGAGTATACTCCTTGATCTTATTTCAAAAGACTTCATTTGAACCAAGGCTCTCTGAAAAACTCACTCTCCTTTTGTGAGAGCTCCAGTTCAGCCCTGCCATCACCGTGACAGTTAACACCCCACAACAAGCCATGATTATCAGGAGGCACAGGAGGGGGCAGCCTGCAGGGTGGCCCTTAGTATAACTCCAGGGTCATTTTTATCATCTTGGGAGCTTTGGGCATCCTACAATATTTACCACCCACTCTTGGGCATTGTAAGTTCTCGAATGAATGTGAATTCGGGCTTGGATGAATTACTTGACATCTTGCCACATGAATCTGCCCCACGACAGGTGATCAAGGAGCCATCCATCCAACTGCCATTCACTCATTGATTCTTCAGATATGCAACAAAAGCCTACTGGTTGCTGCAGTCCTCTAAGGGCTTTGGGTAGAGTAGCAAACCCAGCGGTGAGGTCCCCATCCTCACAGAGCTGAGATTCTAATGTGGGGAACAGAAAGTAGTAAACACATGGTGCAGGGATGAAGAGAAGCACTATGGAGAACAATAGACCGGGGGGGTGGGAAGGCTGGTGCATGGGTGGTTTACAGTGTCACAAGAGGACAATTATTCCAACACCAAGGCAGTGCAGCTCCCCTGCTGCATAAGAGCTAACAAAAAGTAAAATACTAGAGAACTGAATAACGGTGTCTAGTCCTGGAGAAGAATGGGGAAGAAAAGGTTACCCCAACATGCTGCACCATAAGTGGAGAGCTGAGGCTAGCACCCCCAGATGCCATCCGTGCTCCCCAGTGCTCAAAACATTGTGACCCAAACACCCCTCCCTCCATGTGCCTGCACAGAAATACCATCTTGTATGGAGTGTTCACCTGCACACACCCCACCACACAGATTTGCTTTCTTTTCTGAGCTTCTGTGCACCCATGCATTGACCCAAACTCTTCTCTGCCCTGAAATGATCTTTCTTCCTTCTCCTTCAAGTGCCAAGCCAGTCTAGGCTCAACTCAGCACCATCCATAAAACTCTTTCTGCTCAGGCCTCTTACTCCTCTGAGTCCCCAGGCCGTGGGACCCTGGTTAATTCCACTCTGCAGCAATGGCATTTCTGGACACACACTAGCTGCCCTGCCACGGGCCTGTTCATGCTGAAAGACAGTGGCATTTTCTGAATGGCCTCAGTGTCCTCTGTGCTGTCTCAAATGTTGCTGTGCACACAGAGAGAGGGAAGGGCGCAGGATTGGGGGGGAGTCCCACTCTGTGTCAGGAACACTGCCTCATTCATCCTCACAGGATGAGGCATGTAGGGCGCATGGCCACATCGCTGGGGTGAAAAGCCATTTGCGCAGGCCCACACCAGTTAGTGATTAAGCTGGGTGCACATGGAGCTCCCCTGACTATAGACTTCTTTCCATTCTCTCATGCCACTTGGTCATCAGAGGTGGTCGATAGATATTTGATGAGCAAGAGTGACTCAACAAGGAAACAGACACACTGTCTCATCCCCAGTCCCAGATGCCTTCCATGGGCCTCCAACTAGGCACATGGCCAGGCTAGGCTTTGAGCTCAGCCCACTGCCTTGCCTCCAGGGAGGAGAGCTCCTCTGGTGCCTTCTGCAGTGTCGTATTTTGAGGAAAGGCCTTTATCCAACCACTGATTTGACTTCTTAACTCTGTCTTCTAGAGAGTTTTCTAGACCCTTCCTCCAACACAGAAAATGGGAACCCAGTTTACAGGTTCTAAGGCTGTACTCAGTGATAGCCTAGAATCAGCAAGTATCAGGTCTAACGGACCAGCCCTCTGCTCTCTTTGCGAGGAAGGGATTTGACCCCAACAGCACAGTTAGCAAATGGCAGGCTGGGCCTAGGCCCCCCAGCTCCAAGCCTACTGTCCTTCCAGCCACGCCTTTGCAGAGCTCCTCCCCCGCTCATTTAAAATGCTGCTGGGCGTGTACTTAACTAGCTGTGGTGGGCTACACTGGAACTTCTTCTTGACCCCATCCTATGGCTGAGATAAAACGTGGCCATTGTCTGCAGATTCCAGAGACCATGTGGACTGTGGGACTGTTCATTTGCCAGTTAATGTGAGGAAGCTTTCGTCACGCAGCCCAGGACACAGACTGTGGATGCTCCCTGAGCATAATCAGACCAGGGCTGTCATTTCACAAGAAACGGGGTCACAATTATGTTAATAGGAGGCACACGGATTTCTCACCTATCTGAAGGGGAGCTTGAGAAGGAATTAATTCTCACAGTGGTGAGGCAGATTTGATTGCTGATGGTTCAGGAGAAATCAGCCCCAGCCTAAAGTGTGAGCCTCTGTACTCCCTGCTCCCCAGCACTCTCCAGCCTCACCCCTCAGAGTGGAATCAAGCCTCCCTCTGCAGAGCCAGCAGAAAATGGGCTGAGGAAAGCCACTGACAGTCAGCAGATGACAACAGAATTTGCAAGATGCAGGAGTAGGAGGAGAGAAACCTCATTACTCTGCAGGGTGGAGTAACTCAGGAGACCCTCCAAAGATGCAGGGAGCCTCCATGCGGCCACAGGACCCAGGCACAGCCCTGTCACCCCTCTGCAGGTCAAGGGGGCAAGATGCCCAAGCAAGGCACAAGGCCCGATTCTGCCCTTTCCCTTCCCCTCCTTCCTCCAGACCCTTCAATATAGAATCGATTAAAAGGTCATCACAGTTGCAAGTTGTGCTTGATTTGGGGAGGAAGGCAAAAGTTGGCTTTGAGAAATGGGGACTTTTCACCTTCATGGCTCCCTAGTGGGCACTACAGCCTCCTGCCTAGGAACTACTGAGTAGTGGCAAGTAGCTTCCTACAGACGGCTGCAAGGAATACCCCACCCACCCACAGCCCAAACAATCCCCAACAAGGGGTTCTTAGGGACAGGCCACATGAAACAGGACAGAAACCTGCCAGTCACAAGGGTTACAGCACTAGTTTGTTGCAGGATTCACAGACCTAGGTGAAATCTCTGTCCCATGCAGAGCCCAAGATAATGTTAGAGGAAAGAAACCTTGTGAAGCCTACCTACACCATGGCCACCCCCCGAGTGGGCGCGTGCTCTGCCCCAACCCTGCTAGGCTGTGAGGGCAGCTGAGGATGGGGCAGGGAAGGAGATCCATCTCCCATGCTAATTGTCAAATCATAAACCTGTTTCAAGAGGCCTGATCTCCATTGCCCACTGCCAAGCTCACCTAGGCCCATCTACTCCAAAGAACTCATTAAAACAATGACCCCTCAACAAGAAGTCCTGCCTGAAGATTGCCCATCTCAATTTCATTCAAGCCAGAAACCCCAGACTCAAGATTTCCCTCTTGCTCCCCACCCCACCCCCTTTCATCTTGCCCACTCACTTACTGACTCAGATTATTTGCTACTGGGGACCTACCATCTGCTAGGCACTGTTCTAAGTGCTGGGGATACAACTGTGAGCCACGGCCCCTGCCCTCCTGAAGTTTACATTCCCATGAGGGGTCCAGGCATGCAACCCAGCATGGCCACGCAGCTGGAAAGTGCTCTGATGGGAGAAAGGCAGAGCGAGCATTGCAAAGCATGGGAGAGAGTTGGAGGGCTGGAGAGAAAGGAAGAGAGTGCTCCAAGTGGTGGGGATGCCTCTGCCAAATCCTGCGGGTCAGAAGAGCTGAAAGTTCAGCACACCCAGTGGTCAGCATTTGAGGTGAGGAGTTGCAGGGAGACAGGTAGCGGTCAGATCATAGCCAGCCTCCTAAACCACTTTAAGGAGTTTGGAATTCTCCCAAGAGCAACACAGTCTTCAAAGGCACTAACATAATCAGGTGCATAATGGAGGAGGATTTTTCTGGCTACAGAGAATAGGGGAGATCAGAGAGAGCTGCATAGAGGAGGCCAGTTCCAAAACTGTTGTCACGGGTGAAGGCAGAGGTGAGGAGAGGGCGGTGAAAATGGAAAGGCGGCCTTAAGAAGAAGCTAGAACTTGTAACATGCAGTAATGAGTAGCCACAGGAATGGGAGTGGAACCAAAGATACTTCCAGTAACTATTGAGCACTTACGGTGTGCCAGCCACTGCCATAAGCTCTTAGTGGCATCATCTCGTTTAATCCTACAACAGCTTTGTGAAGCAGATATGGCTATTATGCCCACCTTACATATGTGGAAACTTAGGTTCATAGAGGTTTTCCTCTCTGACTTACTTTAGGACAAAGAGCTAGCAACTGGCAGGACCAAGATGATTCAAGGTTTCATGAGAACCAGGTGGGCGTGCATGTCATTGCCCTGAAAGGAAGAAAGGACCCAATGGGCTTGTCTGAGGACTGGAGGACATTAAGGCAGCAATGAACAGGGGAATATGTGAGTCTGAAGCTGAAAGGTAAAAGAGGTAGCTTTGGGAGACTCTGTGTCTAGAGAAAGGAAGCTGCTGAGGAGGAGGAGGAGGTGCTCCATATTACACATGTAGAGTAAGAAGAGAAGAGACCAAGGTCAGAGCTCTGGGAAGCACCAGCATGTTGGAGGTGGGCAGAGCAGGACGGGGAAAGAGAGGGTCAGCTGTATGCCTGCAGTTCATTCTCTACCTGTAGGAGAGACACCCCAGGCAAGACAGAAAGATGACCCCATCAAATCCCCTCATAATCCTTCCAGGGACAGAGCCTCTGGCAAACACTCTAATGATGTTGGCCAGCAGAAGCTCTCTTATCTATGGAATGCTTTTAGCGAGACGTGCCCTATCTGCCTAAAACCGCTCGCGGTAAACAAACCTGGAACCTATGGATTTATGTCAGATGGCTCCCTGGAAAATGTTGTGCAAGCTATGAAACTAGCAGAGAAAAAAGTGAAGATGTTTCAGGACCCAAATAGCTACGCTTTCAAGAAGGATGGCTCGCGTGTAGCACGTAGAGACCCCTAGTGATAAGTCTGGGCCAGGGCACAGCCTAATGTGGCAAAAAAGTCCTGGGAGCTGTATTGTGGTTCAGACTTCACACTTTACCCGGGCCTCACAATTATTTGTATCCTTGCAGTTATTAGTAAGGCTTAGTACTGGTTGAGATCTCTGATTCTTATGAATCCAACTGGACAAGCTGACCCTTTTTATTTTAGCTCAATAACAGAAACTTGGTAAACTGTGCTACAATCATTTGAATTTTCTGCCTAGCTCTGGTGCTGAGCCAGGCTAGTGGAGTAGCTATTTGATTATCCTGGAGGATAAATACCTAGAGACAGAAGAGGAGCCAGGCTAAGATGTGGATTTTGTCCAAACAGAAGCAATAGGACACCACTCAAGGCCTGAATGGAGAAGAGTGACAAGGTCAGACTGAAACTGTTCCTAAGTCACCATGTGAAAAATAGTGGGAGAAGGCACACTTAGAGGCAGATAACCCAGGGAGAGGCCCATCCAGTAGAAAATCTGGGGGGCCCTGGACAGGGCAGGAACAGTGGAAGTGAAAAGCAACTGGGAACTTAAGACCTACATAGGGGTTAGAATGTACAGGACTTGAAGATTGGTTGGGTCTTTGGCGGGGGCAGTGGAAAAGGAGGAGTCGACGTTTCTCCCTTGCATAACTGGTTGGGCAATGGTGCCAGTCACAGGGAAGAGGAACATGGGACAGCAAGCATGGAGATGATGAGAAGTTCTGCTTTGAATGTTTCCACTGTCTGGCACATCCTCAAGAAGGTATCTTGTAGGTAGTTGGATATGTGGTTCTGAAGCTCAGGAGCAATGACTGGGCTGGAGATAGAAAGTGGACTTGTCTTGGTTCATTCATGCTGCAACAATAAAGTACTTGGGACTGGGTAATTTATAAGGACAGAGATGTATTCCTCACATCTCTGGAGGCTGGGAAGTCCAATATCATAGCGTCAGATCTGGTGTCTGGTAAGAGCTGATCAACTCTGCTTGCAAGAGGGTGGCTTGCTGCTTCATCCTCACATAGCAGAAGGACAAAAGGCAAAAGGGGCCCAGATGCTTCCCTCAAGTCCTTTTAAAAGGACACTAATCCCATTCATGAGGGTGGAGCTCTCATGACTTACCACCTTCTAAAGGCCCCACCTCTTAACCCTATCACATTGGGTCTTAAGTTTCAACACACAAATTTTAGGGGAACACAGACATTCAAACCTTAACATTCTACCCCTGACCCCTCAAAATTCATGTTCTTCTCACATGCAAAATACATCCATTCCATCCCAATAGCCCCAAAATTCTTAACTCGTTCCAGCATCAACTCAAAAGTCTAAAGTCCTAAGTCTCATCTAAATATCATCTAAATCAGATATGGGTGAGACTCAAAGGTGTGATTCATCCTGAGGCAAACTGCCCTCTACCTGTGAGCCTGTGAAACTGAACAAGTTACGTGCTTCCAAAATACAATGGTGGGACAGGCATAGGATAGATGTTCCCATTCCAAAAGGGAGCAACTGGAAAAAAGAAAGGAGTAACAGATCCCAAGTAAGTCCAAAACCCAGCAAGGCAAACAGTGTTACATCTTGAAGCTTGAGAAGAATATTTTTTGACTCCATGTCCTGCCTTCTGGACACAACGAGTCAGGGGTTGGGCCTCTGAGGTTCGCTACCAAGGTTGACAGCCTGTGCCCTCTGAAGTGGCAGCCCAAGCTGTACCAGGGCCCTCTTGAGCCACACTTGAGCCTCAGCTGGGGTGGCTAAAGAGCACTGCACCAGAAGTATGAAGCAAAAATTGGAGGTGGCTCTGGGCAGCAAGCCCAAGGTCCCACAGGCACACTGAGCCCCTCCCTTGAAACAGTTCTACCACCCTCAAGGCCCTGGCACTCTGGGCCTGTGATGGATGTGGCAGCCCTGAAGATCTCCAAAATACCTTTAGGGCCGTTCTTCCAGTGTCCTGATGGAAAGCATCTGGCTTCTTTCTGTCCCTACTAATCTGATCAAACAGTCGCTTAGCCACATTGTAGATGCTGTCTCCTGAACACATTTTTTCAGGTGTTACAGGCTGAGAATTCTCCAACTCTTTGAGTTCTGCTTCCCTTTTGAGTATAAATTCTATATTTAATTTGCTTCTCTCTTCCCACATTTTACTCTAAGCAGTCAAGAGAAGTCATGATGCACCTGTATGAGGTGTTGGGGCTGAGATCTGACCTGCATTCTAGCAACCACCCTGGATGATTTTTAGACACCTCAGAAATCACTGAGGTAAGGAACAGGCAGAGGGAGAATATTCCCTGACTGAAAGGGAAGAGGAGGGATAATAAAATCAGAATAATTCAGTGTCATGAAAACCAAGGAAAGATGTTTGCAGGAAGGAACTGTTGAGGGTGTCAAACGTTTCTGCAGGTTTAAGTAAAGTAAGGACTGAAGTATCCCTGGGTGTGGGAACGTGGAGGGCAATGGTAACATGGTCAGATCCATTTGGGAGGAGTATAGGCAGAAACCCTGTTGAAATAGATGCAGGACTGTGTGGGAGGAGTATAGCTCATTCTCTCAATAAGTTTGACTGTGAGTTGGGAAGACAGTGATAAGGCAGAAGCTAGTGGGTAAGCTGCAAAGGGAAGGGAAGAAAGAACTCCATTGTAAATGTGGACAAGATGCAGACATACCTAAATCCTGATGGGAATGGCTTTGAAGATAGAGCAATGAGTGGGACCCTTTAGACCCTTAAGGAGCATGTGATTCCATTAGCCTTGGTCAGTCAGAAGCCAGTGAAACCAGGACAAGGAGGCAGACAATGTTTTTACATTCAGACTTTTGTAGCAAAAGGTTGGTGTCCCCATCTAACATCTTCTATTTTCTCTGCAAAGCAGCAAGAGAAGTTAACTGCAAAGTCAACGAGGTGAAGGTGATAGCAGAGATTTAGAGGGCAAAACAAGCAACAGAAGTGAGGCCATGCGAATGATGTCCCCAATTCCAACAGTGAGTATAGTTTGGCTCAGGATGTATCATAGATTAGAGATGATTTTGTCCAAGTCAACAGAGCCTAGCCAGAGTGATGTTCTGCTTTCTACAATTATCATACTTGTACCCTTCTAAGTCGCATAAAGTCACAGACCCTGTAGTAAATAGAACTTCCTTTCTCCACTTGTCTCCTCAGAGGGGCCAAATGAATGAAACCCACTCTTGATCCAGAAGTCTTGGGAGAAGGATCAGAGGAGGATTCATCCCCAACCTTGGTGCACAGGATTTTGGGGTGCTGCTTCTGTGCTCAGCCTTAGTCATTTAGAAATCCTTAGAGAGCCAACTCACAGCCTTTCCAGTAGCAAAAAGCCAAGTAATTGGAATGGTGGTCATTCCGGCCAAATCCTGGCCCCCAGAAGGTCATGACAATTACATCCACCCTAAGTCACCCCATCCTGGAAGCAAAGCCCCGGTGGTACAAGATCCAACTACAGAGCCAGAAGCAGAAGATTCAGATGAAGAACAACTGCCAGCAGTTCTGTTCTCTTTTTGTTCACAACTTCCAAATAAAGAGGCCCTTTTTCCTTCTCTAATGTCGTTGTTGAGGGTTTAATTTCATGAAAGCCTACAGGGGGTCTCAGGAGAATTAAAGCAGGCTCCATGTAAATTACTCAAGTGAACATGAAAGTCAATCAGCAACACCAAGCGAAAAGGCTCAAAGGAGGCAGAAAAGGGGGTCCACAGGCAGCCAGGGGAGGTGCGGTAACCATGCACAGGCCCTGAGTCTCAGTCTGGCTGTGCACCAGGCCTCCTTGAGGAGCTGTTCAGTAGAAGGGCCTGGTCCCACTTGACCTCATCAATCAGAATCTCAGGGCGTAGAGCCCTTAGATCACACTGATACACTCCTGACCTTGAGAACCTGGGGTCAGGGCCTGACCAAGCCCTGCAAACCAGAAATGCAGTGTCATTGATGGCCAGACTTCACAGTCTCCAAGATGCTGACTCATAGCTCACAAGGACGATGAACAAAGCCCAAATGCCAGCTTACTCATTGCAAACGGTTGCACTGCCTGACCAGCACATTCTTTCCCTGTTGGCTAGCAAACACAGGAAGTCAACGCTTTCGGACATTGCTGGAGGAGCCAGTGGCATCAGGCTCTAGTGTGTTCTTGTTCACAACTGACAGAAGCCCATAATGCAGTCCAGATATTCCACAGGAAAGCGTGCCTCTGGGCTGCCTCATTTTCTGTGCTCCTATTGGCTGCCAAGGCTCCCTTCTGATGGACATGGCCTTCATGTACATTCAGGAGGTGATGTCTAAGCTTTCTGGGCCACTGCCTCTTGCAGGTGACTTTGTGTCTTTCTTCTGCTCCTTTTGAATATAATGGCTCAAAGGGCCATTACATTCCCCTGACATCCAAATCCTTGGAGACATTTCACATTTCAAGTGTAGTGCTCCATCCCCGTTTCACAGGTAAGGAACAGAGGCCAACCTGGGTAGGTGTCAGTTCCAGAGCCAAATGGCTTCCTCCTAAGAAAGGCTGAGGTCTGAGCTAAGCAGGTGGTGGTGGAGATGGAAAAGCAGTAAGAGGCTGGATTACATCAAAGAGGCAGAGGACGACGGCTTCTAACTTGGAAACTGGGTCGGTGGGGTGATACTGACAAGACCAGGATGGCAGGAGAGTGTGCAGGCAGTTGTTGAGTGGTGAGGAAGGCTGTGCTGCCCCTCAATCAGCTGGACAAACAGCACATTCACTGAGGACCATGCTGAGAGCTGCTAGCGGGGTGTGGAAGGGGACAAATGATGTGTGTCTGTTCTGACAAAGCTTTCAGAGCACAACGGGCCTATGACTAACCCTGTCAGTTTATGACTGTTGTGTACCTGTTCCTGGTGAGAACTCATCTGGGCTGTGCTGATAGGACAAGAAAGAGCTCACAGCTGACTACGGCAGTCTCCCTGTGGCTCAGGCATCCCTGTGGAGAGACTCATCTTCCCAGCACCAAGTCAACTATCAGTCAAGACTCTGAGTTGCAGCTTAAGCTGGCTTAATCCAGAAAGAGAATGTAAGATTTCATATAGTAGACAAGTCTGCATGTAGGTCTTCTGGCTTCAGGTCCGGCTGGATCCAGAGGCTCAAACCCCATCCTCTGGACCTGTTTTCTCTCTCTCACTCTTTGATCCTCTCTCTGGTGCACATCTTGGCTTTGTTTTTCCCCTGTACTACACTCACTCTCAGCACACTCTCCCCACTTGGACTCCAAAAACTCCAGTTTGACAGCAAGTCCAGAAAGAGAGTTCTTTCCTCTGTACAACCCCATATAAGACCCAGCATGGACTTTGCCCATAGACCCAACCCTGAACCAATTACTGTGGCCAAGGGGAATCCGATGCACTGATTTGCCAGGCCTGGGTCCATGTCCATCCTGGAGTTAATCCACCCAATCCACCTGGACTCAAAGTGGGGATGGAGTAAATTCCTGAGAAAAAAGGTGTTCTGCTGCCAGAAAAGGGAGGTGAATGTTGGGCAGGCAATGGATGCCTACTATTGTAACAAGCAAAGAGCCCTGTTTAGGTCCAAGGGGAGAGCGATGATGGTCAGAAACCTTCTGGGCCCAGGACCACCCCCTAGGAACCCACCTCCCTCTTTACAGTGCAGCTGCTCTGCTAGCATCTACAGGCTTCAACCCTCAGTAGAAAAGACCCCAAAGGTTTTATGAGTGGGGTGTTTGTTAAGGAAGAAAACATGGAAAACTGAAAGAGATGGGAGAGGGCTTCTCCCAGCAGTCTTATTCCCATTAAAAATTACAGCAAGAAGGAGCTGGGTTTGCCAGAATAAGGTCAGTATCAGAAAGAGGCACAGGTGGGGGTCATTCAGGGCAAAGGAGAAAGGAAGTTTCTGATAAAGCAGGTCTGTAGGGGAGGAAGAAGAACGATGACAAGGGGAAAGGGGTGCCATGGAGGAAAGCCATGAAATAGGGCTGGGTTATGGGTGCAGCCTTTTCGAAATAATGAAAACAGAAAACTTTCTGAGACCTTACTGCCTCACAGCAGGGAACTGCATGGCTCAGATTTCATACCCGGACTTTCCATCAATTCCCCTCTGGCTTGTGAATAGCATACCACAGGATAGAGAATGAGATGAGAGCTAGGAAAATCTAGGTTAGTGCTGGGACAGCTCCATTTCCCATCTAGGGCCAGCATGGGCCCCTCCAGGAAGCCTGCCCTACACACACACTGTTCCCCAACCCTGGAGAGCCTTCCTCTCCTCTCAGTTCCTAAGCCCTCCCCAGTTTCTCTACTACATCCACATTTCACGGAAGATGGTCTTACCTGCTCCACTGGGTCTTAGAAGACCAGTTCACAACACTGTGTAGTTCAGAACTAACTAGGAGTAACTGTTAAAAATACAGATCCTTGGGCCCATCCTTGGAAATTCCAATTTGACAAGGCTGGGGTGGGCCCCAGGCATCTGTATTCTCAACAGGCTCCTTGGGGTCTGCTGAAGTAGAGCCACATCGGAGAACCACTGTCTTACCCGGATTGCTAAAGCTGGAAAGGAACTTCTCTAAGAAGTGAAAGCTGTCAACTAGAACCTGGGCCAGCACACTGTGTCCTGCAGGCCCAACCCACCCTGCTACTTGTTTTTTATCAATAAAGCTTTATTGGAACACAGCCACACCCATTCATTTACATGTCTTCTACCACTACTTCCACGGTATCATGGCAGAAGTCATGTGGGCCAGAAAGACAAAAATATTTACTCTCTGACACTTTCCAGAGAAAGTTTGCCTCCTCCTGAATTAGAAGGTAATCTCTGAGGCCCAGAAATGTATCTCTCTCTGTCAGAGATTTGGAACCCGAAGAACCTGCTTTTTCCTCTTTTTGTCCATGGTCTCACTGCCTCCCCATGGTTTGGGATGTGTTCAGGGCATTTGTTGTTTCTTCTACTCAGAATCCATCGTTCTTCTGAAAACAGCCTCTTAACCTTGGGGGAACTCCTGGCCCTCATTGGATAAGATCTCAATATAACTGTCAATCAAAACACCCCGCCCTCTCCTTGGGCATGGGACCCAAGCTGAGCCAATTCTATGTTCACTTACTGGAATTTAAATCTTGAGCTGAGAAAAGAGCCATTGACAGCCATTAGGTCTCCTTCCTTTCACCACGGAGCCGGAAGGGAGCCCGCTCCCAGGTCCCTGCAGCTGCCCTGGTTATCTGTCCCTCAGACAGCCAATTTCTCAGCCTTTTCTGTGATTCTATGGGTAGCCCCATCTCCTCCTAAAATATTCCTTTTTATAGCAAATTAGACAGAATTTAAACCAGGTGTTTACACCCCAGAAAATCCCAACGGATGCCAAATGCAGGGATTGGATTAGGCCATGAGGCATGCATCTGCCCATTTCACAGATGGACACCTGGCCTCCAGGCAGGAAAAGCAACAGTCATGAGAAGAATCCAGACCTCTGTCCTGTTCCCACAATTCCTCTTATCCCAATGTCACCCTTGATCATTCAAAGTCAATAGCATCAGACAGCATCAATCCCAAAATACAGGCATCATTTTAGAAATTAATAAATACGTAAGGAGGAGCCCTCCTCACACAGAGAGCAGTCATGACAACTCTATAGAAAGAACGATTCCCAACGAGAGCTGTGTGTGTATGTCATGTAATATCAAGAATTAAAAAGCATCAAAAGATCAAGTGGGAGGAACATTAAATATGAATGGGATGAAAGACACATTTCTGTGCACGGAATAATGACTTTAATGAGTTTCCTCACCCAAGTCACGGCATCATAAAGTACAAAAGCCGGGAAAGGGATTGAGGAGGGGAGCGGGGAGTGCAGGGGAGGCTTTGTGTGTGAAAGCGAGATGAGCAGGTAGGTAGGGGAGGAAAAGACAAGAGCTGAAAGAACTGTCAGGGTGAGTTCCGGGCCCTGATGCAAGTCGCCAGATTCCCAGGAGGTGCCTATGGGCACAGAGCAGCAGGACCTCCAGCCCCGGGGCAGCTGACAGTCCCCGGAGCCCCACAGAGTCCCACTGTGACCCAACCCTCGCCCCAGCCCACCTGGACAGAAGTAGTGTGGGTGCCAATCAGTTGGCAAAGCACCTCTGCTGACCTTGGCCACCCAGGGTAACCAGATGGGAGCCATGCTTGGAGACGGTGATTTCCCCAGCGGGCCAGGAGCAACTACACATATGCTATGATCAGAATGCCTGTGTCCCCCCAAAATTCATGTTAGAATCCTAACCCCCAAGGTGATGGTATGGGGAAGTGGGGCCTTTGGGAGGGGATTAGGTCATGGGGGTACAGCCCTCATGAATGGGATTGGTGACCCTATTTAAAGAGGCCCCAGAGAGAACCCTGACCCCTTGCTGTGAGGCCACAGTGAGAAGGGGACGTCTATGAATAAGGAAGTGGGTCCTCACCGAACACTGAACCTGCGAGAGCCTTGATCTTGGACTTCCAGGCTCCAGAACTATGAGAAATAAATTTCTGTTGTTCATAAACTACCCAGGCTATGGTATTTTGCTGTAGCAGCCTGTACAGACCGAGATAACACAGAAGGACATGACATAAGTTTTAAAGGCAGACAAACCCTGGCCGCCAATCCTGGGGCTGTCACCTCCCGGCTGTGAGGCTCAGAGCAGGCAATTTAACATTCCTTCAACTTAAGCTTCCTCGCCTGTGAGGTGGGATGCTGTATTTTCCTCACAGTGCTGTTGGAGGATTAAGTGAGAGGACACACAGAAGCCTGGCCATGAAGAAGATTCCCAGTAACCATCAGTCCTCTTGCCCTCACCCTCCCGCAGGCCATGCACACAGTGGCCGTCCAGGAAGTAGTTGTTTCCAATGTTATTCAGAGTCCACTATCTTCTGCCACGTTCACAGTAGCTCAGGAGACCAGGAAAGCTCGATTGCCTGTTCACACCAGAGACAGAAAGCCGCAATGGCAGGCTGGCAGTGAGGAAAGATGTCTACCTTTGTCCAGCCTTCCACTGACTCAGATGAAGCTGAAGTCAGTGCATGGCAGGCCCGTGCAGAGCCAGCCCAGAGCCCAGGGTGCAATGACTTGGAACAGGTGCATTTCCATGACAACCTTCTGCTTCCACAATGATTGTCATCTTCCTCCTGCATAAGGAAACCCCCCAAAATGCCCAAGCAACATCCATTGACTTCTCAGCCTCCAGCAGTCCAAAGCGAGGCCTGCAGCACTGCAGGCATGGCTGAGTTCCGTGGAGCTGATTGGGCAGTCCACGAGAGGCAGAGACGAAAGTTCCTGCCTCGTCTGCATCATCAGACTGACATGCCAGGAAAATGGTAACAGTAAGAATGACAGAAAGGCTTAAATGGCACTAACTGTGAACCAAGAGCTCTGCATATAATAACTTACTTAATCCTTACAATAACTATGCTAGATAGATTTTATTATGCCCATTTTATAGAAAAAGAAACTGAGACACAGAAAGGTTAAGTAACTTATCCAAGGTCATATAGCAAGTGCCAGAGATGGATTCCAACCGGGATCATCTGGTTCTAAAGTTCATGCTTCTAACTCTGAAAAACTTCATGGAAATAAGCCTATCAGAAGAGGAAGCTGGTCAGAAGAAGGCTGGGATGCAGCGGGTGGTAAGTACCACTTAGAAAGAAAGCAGAGCGTGAAGCCCAAGGAGCCTTTGTTTGCCATCACAGATGCCACTCAGGAGATGCAGCGCAGGGACTGGAGCTTCAGCAGATGATGCAGTCCTAGAGCCTTTGCCACACCTCAGGTTGTTTTTATTGTTCCCTATTTCTCTGCAATGACCAACAGCAAAGCAGTTAACAAGGAAGTCCTGTGGCTTACCAAGGAAGGAAGTCATGGGGCCACCATAACCCGTCTTGCAGCCCAGCTTGGTGGGGTGTTGGGGAGGGATGTCACAGATGTCCATACCCCACCTAGGAGCCAGGGCAGGTTCGGCTGGGGCACTAGGTAGACTTCGGAACTGTGGCAGGATATCCACGTCAGATCTAGATTCAAGCTGTAATAATAATTTATTTGTATCATTGTAATTATTTGTTTAACGTCTCCCAATTGGCTCTATGTGAGAAAGTGAGTGAAGCTATGTCTGTCTTGTTCAGTTCACATCCCCAGCTGCTGGCTTAGAGCCTGGTGTATAGTAGGTACTCAATAAATATTTATTACATCAACGAGCAAAGAGAATAAGTATAAGCCAGGGTTTCTCAACCACAGCACTATTGGCACCTGGGGCTGGATAATTCTGTTTTTAGAGGCCTGGACTGTGCACTGTAAGTTGTTTCAGCAGAGTCCTTGGCCTCTGCACGTTAGATGCCAGCAGGACTCCCTCCTCGAAATAAGAACCAAAAATGTCCCCTGGGGGGCAAAATTGCCCCCCAGCTGGGAATGACTAATATAAACCAATATTCTTGGCTAGTGCCACTAATTGAAAGAGAGAAGCCAAATTTAATCTGCATATGCAGTGGGCAAGGGGGAATCTGAGCCCTAAAAACCAGGAGGGGCTGAGAGGAAGAAGGTGTGAAAGTCGGGGCCACCCACTGAGCTCTCAGATGACTACCAAGTGCACCCTCCAGTTTGTCTCTTGGGTTGTAAGGCATGAGGGCGATTGTGCTGACTTTAACATACAGAATAGGGTAGGTGGGAATGAAGGGGGTGATGGCAGCGTCCAGGAGAGAGAGGTGGACCCAAGACCAGACACCAAGGCAGGACAAAAACAGCCCAGGAGTGGGTCTGAGAACAGATTGGGCAGCAGAAATCCCCACGCAGTTCCCGAACAAGGAATCTTTTGACAGGTGGCCTTGCAACACCGACCCTCTCTTGTCTCCACTTTGAAGCCTGCCCTGTGCAATGTGGCCTCACACCCAGGAGGCCCTCAGATCAAGGTGGTCTTGGCAGATCCTCTAGGAGGGATTAGACCGTGACATTACAGCTACATGACGGCCTCGTTCTTATTACACACACACTCGCCCTGTCTAAGCTTGCGAACTCTGATTTGTTTATTTCTGAAAAACTGTCTCCACGAAGACACCAAGCTGGGCTGCGAGAGATAGCACTGACTCAGCCATTTCCCCATCCTCAGCATAAAAGGATCTAAAAAGAATAATTTAAGCTTCTCTGGAATGAGATCATTTAATGAATCTTCTTGATGCTAAGAGGTTTTATATGCCTTTTTAAAAACCCTTCCCCAAGCACGGAGCTATGATATTACCTTGGAGAGCAGAGAGATGAAGTGATACACGTATGCACAGCACACAGGAGGAAGGAGGTGGTTTCCTTGGCAACAACATCCATGTTCTGGCTTCCCTCGGCTAAATTGGAATATATTGAAATATCTGCTTTGGGCGCCTCTTTTGCGAAGGGAAATGAGTGGTTTTCTATTCAGGCACTCTCAGAACCGCGAGCCAGCAGCTGGGGAGCGATGTTCTGTGAGTTCGATGCATCTGAATGGGGCAAGGCCGTTAGCAAGCTGGCAGAAGTCCCCAGCATTCCTTTGCAAAACCAAACCATCGTTTCCTCAGCCAAGGGAAAATGAAAGCAGCGAACACATGAGGTTCGACTGGCCGGACAGATAGGCTAGGACTCTGTCTCACGCAGTCTTTCTATGGCTACTGCTCTGTAGCTTTCCAAACATACCCAGCTCGATAGATCAGACTCCAAAAGCCTACTCACGATGCGCTTAAAATGGGGAGTGGCTGTAAGAAAAATATAGACCTATCGAAAAAAGGTCCTCAAATCTGATCTGCTCAAAATCCTTGACAATAGGGAGGCAGCTATGCCCCTAAAACACAGTGCCTGGCACCGAGGAGTATGTTAACATCATGTTTGTGGAATTGGACTTGGACTCAGGCAGACCTCGGTTTTGGCCCTGGCTTCACTATTAACATTCCACATGACATTGCACATGTTCCATAAACCCTCTGGCCTCAGTTTCCTCCTCTCTAAAGCAGAGACAAGCATCCCTTCCTATAGAATTGTGAAGATTAAATGGGGTGACCTGTAAAATGCCTAGCATGAAGGCGGCATTCCATTATGGTTACTTTTCCCCACCAAGAAACAAGAAGCATTCTGTTTCTTTCAGATAGGTGAAATTTACAGAAAAGAACAGTGTCTTAGGGAGAGCAGGAACAACCTCACCCAAGGAGCCAAACTCCTTTCCATTTTTATTTTCAGGGTGCTTTTGGAGAGCTGAGACAGCCTAGGTTGGGAAGTGTCTGGATCAGGATGTCAGAAGGGCCAACTCAGTCATAACCACAGAACCAGCCACAAGCCTCAGGGGAAATGGGACAAGGAGACAGCGAGGGTCTGAGGTCTTGGCAGGCCAGTGGCAGGTAGCACCACAGAGACCAATGGGAGCATCAGCCATCAGCTGGGGCCAAGGAGGGGATGCTGAAAGGGCAGGGAGGTGAGGTCTGCTGGGGAGGAGGACCAGCCCCACACATCAGGGACACAGTCTTTATAACCGGCTCTCTATTTAAAGACCCTCACATAAGATTGTACACTATGTTTTGTTGCAATAGCTCATACCTGTCACTCCTAAGAAGGTCTTTCATAAGACTCAGTTAAAATAGTTGCTTCAATGTAAACACATCAGGACCAAGGATTTCCCATTAGAAGCACAGACTTTAATTCCTAGACTGTCATTCTTTCTAAGAAGTCTTATGAACACAAAAAGGCATTTCAGTTCTATGTCTAATATTTATTTGTGTGCCTTTGGGGGAAAAAAAATATTTTCTAAGCCTTGTACTTGTGCTGTACACAATAACCGCCCTTTCCTAAAGTCACAGGACAGCAGTGAGAGTAAAATTAAAAGGCGGGCAGCATAGTGAGTGGGAACACACCATCTGTGTCTTTATATCATATGATTTTATGTATTCTGACCATCTGTGAAAGAGAGGTTTGCTACTTGGCTGAAGAATGTACAAGCTCAGGCCCTTTCCCCCTGGGAAGGTAAAAAAAAAAAAAAAAAAAAAAAAAGAAGAATAAAAATTACAATAATAATTCAAAAGATCCTCTAGAAAAATAAACTTCTACTGCTCACTAATAAATTTCTGAAAAAAGAACATCACTAAAGGGATATTTGTTCTGCAAATTTTAAAATGCATTCTAAATCTGCAATAATTAAAACAGTGTGGTACTAGCAAAAAAAAATTAGCAGACGGAACAATGAGGCAGATTCAATACATAATATATTTAAACTTTAATATACTTTTAAGATAGAATTTCATGTCATTATGGGAAAATATGGACTATTCAGTGAATTATGGCTTGAGGATAACTGACCAACCTACTAGGGAGCAAATTTAAATTCTATCCCTACCTCACACCACATGATTTTTTTTTTTGAGACAGTCTCGCTCTGTCGTCCAAGCTGGAGTGCAGTGGCGCGATCTCGGCTCACTGCACACTCCAGGTTCACACCATTCTCCTGCCTCAGCCTCTCAAGTAGCTGGGACTACAGGTGCCCACCACCATGCCCAGCTAATTTTTTTTTGTATTTTTACATGTTAGCCAGGATGATCTTGATCTTCTGACCTTGTGATCCACCCGCCTTGGCCTCCCAAAGTGCTGGGATTACAGGCGTGAGCCACCGGGCCTGGTCCTTTGGTTTTTTTTTTTTTTTTTTTGGTTTTTTTTTGAGACAGAGTCTTGCTCTGTCACCCAGGCTGGAGTGCAGTGGTGCGATCTGGGCTCACTGCAAGCTCTGCCTCCCAGGTTCACACCATTCTCCTGCCTCAGCCTCCCGAGTAGCTAGAACTACAGGCCCCTGCCACCATGCCTGGCTAATTTTTTTTTGTATTTTTAGTAGAGACAGGGTTTCACTGTGTTAGCCAGAATGGTCTCGATCTCCTGACCTCGTGATCCACCCACTCTGGCCTCCCAAAGTGCTGGAATTACAGGCGTGAGCCACCACGCCCAGCCCACACCACACTTTAAAATAAATTCCAGGCCAGGCACAGTGGCTCACACCTGTAATTCCAACATTTTGGGAGGCCAAGGCAAGAGGATTATCTGTGGCCAGAAGTTCAAGACCAGCCTGGGCAACAAAGCAAGACCCTGTCTGTACAAAAAAATTTAAAATTTTACCCAGGCATGTTGGTACAGGCCTGTAGTCCCAGTTACTGGGGAGGCTGAAGTGGGAGGATCGCCTGAGTCCAGAAGTTTGAGGCTGCAGTAAGCTGCAATTGTGCCATAGCACTCCAGCCTGGGCAACACAGCAAGACCTCATCTCAAAAATATAAAATAAAATAAAATTCCAGATAGGTTAAATATTTAAAAAATAGAGTATTAAAATGAAATATGAAGTAAGATTCACATTATCTTCAAGTTGCATGCCAGACATCTTTTATGCCGCATGTCACACCCTGTCAGCTCCTCTTTTTGTTTCACCACCCCCGCCATGCCACATCTCCCTCTCTCTCTGCTCCCAGCTTCTCTGGCCCAGCTCTTTGGGATACCTGCTGTCAGTGACCAACTCTGCCATTCTGCCGTGTGCACAATATTGGGAGTGCAAGCAGTCCACATCCCCCAGGGAAGCCTTTGATTCTTGTGAAATAAAAACCTTCTTCCCTCTGCCAGGGAGCCAATTCTGAGGCATGTTCTCCAAAGTTCCTGACAGGACCCCAGCAGGACTGACCCCTATTTCCCCTGTGTTGGCCTCCCCTCCTGTCCTGTCTCCCTCTTTCCAGCCTCCCACTCCTCTTCCCTGGAAGCCAATCACAAAATCAACTCTGCAGATAGGCCTTTGTCACAGGTTCTGCTCTTTGGGGGACCCAAGTTAAGATGGGTAGGAAAGACCTAAGTATAGAGCTAAATTGAGAAAACATGAAGAGAAAGGTCAATAGGTTTATTTTCTTTAAAATGTAAAACTTCTGTACATCAAAATATTTCACATATACTCTTCCCTTTCCTTCCAAAACAATTTAGGCTAGAAGCCACTACGTGGGATTAAGCAAGGTTGGCATCTATGCAAAATGAGACAGCAGCCACTGGGGCACTGGAGCACATCATGGGGTGGAGGCGATCACGGGGTGTCAAAGGCTAAGCAGGTCAAAGGGGCCATACATGAGGGTGAGTGGTGGCCCAGTGTGAGTGGCCAAGCCCAAGTGGTGCAAAGGGGGCATCTGAGGAGTAGGGAACAGCCCAGCTTGGGGTGTCACAGCCTGAGTAGGTTGAAGAGGTATCCATGAAAGGAGGTGGCCCAGCACAGGGTGTTGGAGCCAGAACAGGATAAGAAAGGCAGCTCTAATACACTGGTGGGGAGGGTGTCCCTAGGGCAATGGCAGTGATAAGGGATTGGTTACATACAAGGTATTGATCAAATGACTAAATATATTACAGAAGATGAGATGGGAGCCAGATTTTTCACTGTCACAGAAGACAGTTATAACAATGGCCTGGTGTGGTGGCTCACGCCTGTAATCTCAGCACTTTGGGAGGCCAAGACAAGTGAATCACCTAAGCTCAGGAGTTCGAGACTAGCCTGGCCAACATGGTGAAAACTCATCTCTACTAAAAATACAAAAATTAGCCAGGTGTGGTGGTGGGTGCCTGTAGTCCCAGCTACTTGGGAGGCTGAGACAGCAGAATTTCTTGAACCCGGGAGGCAGATGTTGCAGTAAGCCAAGATTGCACCACTGCACTCCAGCCTGGGCAACACAGCAAGACTCTGTCTCAAAAAAAATAAAAATAATAAAAAAAAAAGACTGTTACAACAATGGAAAGGGAGAAAGGCAGAATATACCCTATGGCATGTGATCAGAATTGGAGGCATTAACAGGAACTTTGACATCCCACAGTGCCTCCTGCCCCCACCCTGGCTCCTGTCCCATCTTACACAGATGCCAACCTTGTGTATATATAGATATATGATAACCACTAACAATTATTTTACAAATTTACTCCATTATGGCAACAATTTAAAATTAAGCAAATATGATTTAATGTATATGTATTTGTCTGTTTTTACGCTGCTGATAAAGACATACCTGAGACTGGGAAGAAAAGGAGGTTTAGTTTGACTTACAGTTCTGCATGGCTGTGGAGGTCTCATAACCATGGCAGAGGGCAAAAGGCACTTCTTACATGGTGGCAGCAAGAGAGAATTGAGGAAGACACATAAGCAGAAACCCCTGATAAACCCATCAGATCTCATGAGACTTATTTACTGTCATGAGAATAGCATGGGAAAGACTGGCCTCCATGATTCAATTACCTCCCCCTGGGTCCCTCCCAAAACACATGGGAATTCTGGGAGATAGAATTCAAGTTGAGATTTGAATGGGGACACAGACAAACCATATCATTCCATCCCTGGCCCCTCCAAATCTCATGTCCTCACATTTCAACACCAATCATGCCTTCCCAATAGTCCCCCAAAGTTTTAACCCATTTCAGCATCAACCCAAAAGTCCACAGTCCAAAGTTTCATCCAAGACAAGGCAAGTCCCTTCCACCTATGAGTCTGTAAAATCAAAAGCAAGCTAGTTACTTCCTAGATACAATGGGGGGTAGAGGTGTTGGATAAATACAGCAGTTCCAAATGGGAGAAATTGGCCAAAATAAAAGGATTACAGGACCCACGCAAGTCTGAAATCCAGCAGGGCAGTCAAATTTTAAAGCTCCAAAATTATCTCCTTTGACTCCAGGTCTCATATCCATGTCATGCTGATGCAAGAGGTGGGTTCCCATGGTGTTGGGCAGCTCCGTCCCTATGGCTTTTCAGGGTACAGCCTCCCTCTCACTGCTTTCTCAGGCTGGCACTAAGTGTCTGTGGCTTTTCCAGGTGCACAGTGCAAGCTGTTTGTGGATCTACCATTCTGGGGTCTGGAGGACAGTGGCCCTCTTCTCACAGCTCCACTAGGCAGGTCCCCAGTAGGGACTCTGCTTGGAGGCTCTGACCCCACATTTCCCTTCCGCACTGCCCTAGCAGAGGTTCTCCAAGAGGGCCCCACCCCTGCAGCAAACTTCTGCCTGGGCATCCCGGTGTTTCCATACATCTTCTGAAATCTAGGCAGAGGTTCCCAAACCTCAATTTTTGACTTCTGTGCACCCACAGGCTCAACACTATGTGGAAGCTGCTAAGGCTTGGGGTTTCCACCCTCTGAAGCCACAGCCCAAGCTCTACGTTGGCCCCTTTCAACCATGGCTGGAGCTGCTGGGACACAGAGCACCAAGTCCCTAAGCTCCACACAGCATGGGTACCCAGGGCCAGGTCTATGAAACCAATTTTTCCTCCTGGGCCTCCAGGTCTGTGATGGGAGGGACTGCCGTGAAGGTCTCTGACATGGCCTGGAGACATTTTCCCCATGGTCCTGGGGAGTCACATTAGGCTCCTTGCGACTTATGCAAATTTCTGCAGTCAGCTTGAATTTCTCCTCAAAAAATGGGTTTTTCTTTTCTACTGCATAATCAGGCTGCACATTTTTTGAACTTTTGTACTGTTTCCCTTTTAAAATGGAGTGCTTTTAACAGTACCCAAGTCACCTCTTGAATGCTTTTTTGCTTAGAAATTTCTTCTGCAGATACCCTAAATCATCTCTCTCAAGTTTAAAGTTCCACAGATCTCTAGGGCAGGAGCAAAATGCCACCAGTCTCTTTGCTGAAACATAACAAGAGTCACCTTTGCACCAGTTCCCAACGAGTTGCTCATCTCTATCTGAGACCACCTCAGCCTGGACCTTGTTGTCCATATTGCTATCAGGCTTTTGGTCAAAGCTATTCAACAAGTCTCTAGGAAATTCCAAACTTTCCCAAATTTTTCTGTCTTCTTCTGAGCCCTCCAAAACTGTTCCAGCCTCTGCCTGTTACCCAGTTCCAAAGTTGCTTCCACATTTTCAGGTATCTTTTCAGCAACTCCCCACTCTACTGGTACCAATTTACTGTATTAGTCCATTTTTGCACTGCTGATAAAGACATACCAAAGACTGGGAAGAAAAGGAGGTTTAATCTGACTTACAGTTCCACATGGCTGGGGAGGTCTCATAATCATGGCGGAGGATGAAAGACATTTCTTACATGGCAGCAGCAAGAGAGAAATGAGGAAGAAGCAAAAGTGGAAACCCCTGATAAACCCATCAGATCTCATGAGACTTATTCACTATCACGAGAATAGCATGGGAAAGACAGGCCCCCATAATTCAGTCACCTCCCCCTGGGTCCTTCCCACAACATGTGGGAATTCTGGGAGGTACAATTCAAGTTGAGATTTGAATGGGGACACAGCCATACCATATCAGTACATATATATATATATATATATAAAATAGATGCAAGTGTGTGAATGTATGCTTACGTGTGTGTCCACTGAGAGAACCTGGGAGCTGGAGCTGTGGCACTCCAATAGTAATGAGCACACCTAGGACCCAGATCTTGTCTTCTAAATACCATTCTCCACTAAAAGGAACAAGGACTCCCTGGAGAAACAGCTGATTCCAAAGCTAAGGAGGAGTACCTTGGTTTACCAAAAATTAAAGAATGTTCAAAGAATGATGGGGACAAAATCAAAGAGATACAGAAGCCCACTTGAAGGGGCACCTACTGGTTAAATCCAGGACAGCTTGAGCACCAGAATAAATAATGATATTAATGGATTATAACGAATTGCATCAAACAGAAATCCATGAGTTTATATAGACAAAATATACAAATGAATAAATTGAAAGTTTAGGAGGAACAAGATATTTACACAGTCTCAAAGTACCTCTTCATTTAAAAAAAAGTATTAATTACAAACGAGAAAAAGTAACTTTACAGTGGAAAAAACTGGCAGAAACCATCTTCAAGTGATCAAAGCTTCACTCTCCAGTAAGGAGAGAAATCAAAATCCCACGTGATATGAAGGGATGCAACAAGGAGAACTCAGCATCACTTCTGATATTCCTGCCAAATATGAATAAGCTGAAGCAAGTCCTGAAAAAACTTCAGAAAAACCCACTGACAGATGTTCAAGAAAATAACTGACCTGTACTCTGCAATAGTGCCAAGGTCATGAAAGTCAAGGAAAGCCTGAGGAACTGTCCCAGATAAAGGAGAATGAAGAGACATGACAACTAAATGCAAATGTGATTCTGAACCGGATCTTTCTGCTGCAAAGGACATTGTTGGGACAATTGGCAAAAGTTGAATGGTGTCTGAGGAATAGTTGGTCTTCATGTACAAGGTCAGCATCCTGATACTGATGGTCATATTAGGTTATGTCAGAAAATGTCCTTGCTTGTAGGAAATGTGCACTAAAGTATCCAGGGATGATGAGGCATTGGGTCAACAACTTACTGTCAAATGGGTTTAGAAAAAAAAAGTTCTTTATACTCTACTTGCAACTTTTCTTGCTTTATTTTTTTTATTATTATTTTTTTTTAGACAGAGTCTCACTCTTTTGCCCAGGCTGGAGTGCAATAGTACAATCTCAGCTCACTGCAACCTCCACCTCCTGGGTTCAAGCGATTCTCACCTGAGTAGCTGAGATTCGAGGTGCGTGCCACCATGCCCAGCTAATACTTGCAACTTTTCTATAAGCTTGAGATTATTTCAAAATAAAAGTAAACGCTGGGAGCAGTGACTGATGCCTGTAATCCCAGCACTTTGGGAGGCCGAGGCAGGCAGATTGCTTGAGCTCGGGAGTTCGAGACCAGCCTGCCAACATGGCAAAAACCTGTCTCTACTAAAAATACAAAAATTAGCCGGGCATGGTGATGGGCGCCTATAGTCCCAGCTTCACAGGATGCTGAAGTGGGAGATCACTTGAACCTGGGAGGTGGAAGTTGCAGTGAGCCGAGATCATGCCACTGCACTCCAGCCTGGGAGACAGAGCAAAATGCTGTTTCCGAAAAAATAAATAAACAGTCAAAATAAAAGTTAAAAAAAAAAAACCATAAACATGTAACTGACACACGGGAAAAAAATGCAAAACACAAGATAGAAAAGGGGTCACACATGGTTCCTGAGAGGTAGGCATGGAGGCTTCCCTGACAGCCTCCTCAAATAGCAGGCCCACTGCCAGGCCAGCCTCCGAGATGGAGGGAGAGAAAGAGAGGGGGATGGCTGAGCCGGACCCCCGGGCCTGTCCTTCCATGATTCCACTACACTGGGCTGAGGTTCCTCTGCCTGCCTTGCCCCCAGTTCCCACCCCTACCCCTAGCCCTGGGATGAGTCTCCCTGGTACCAGCTGTGCTTCCTTTTCTGTGTTTTATTTAGACAACAGACGGGAATGAGGTGGGAGGTGGAAGAAGGGGAAAGAAAGGTGAGTTCGAGCTGCCTTCCCCAGCGTTAGACCCCAGGTGGGCTCTGTGCAGTCACTAGAGGTTGAAGCCAAGTGGGGTGCAGAGAGGAGGGAGAGGGAGGTCACTGGAAAGGGGGAGAGCCTGCTGGGGCCCACCATAGAGGAGGAAGGCAAGAGAGGGTGGAGGGGGTGTGGCAGTGGTTTTGGGAAACACTAAAGAGCCCTTGCCTCCCCATTTCCCATCTGCACCCCTTCTCTCCTCCCCAAATCAATACACTAGTTGTTTTTATCCCTGAAAAAGAAAAAAGGGGGTCACAATCTCAACGTATAAACAGTGCTTCAAATTGTATTGAAAAAATACGAATATCCAGATAGAAAAACATGGCAAAAGATGAACAGATAATGCCAAAAAATTAAATGTCCTATAAACACATGAAAAAAGTTTACTTTCTTCTGAAACCAAAGAAATGCAACAATGAAAATGAGATATCATAATTTATGATTCTTCAATATGCAAAATATATTTTAAAATCATATTCCATCTTGGCAAGAGTGTGAGGAAACAGGTATTTTACTTATCGCTGGTAAATACGAATTCACATATTCCTTCTGGATGACATTTTAGCAATTTACATCAAAATCCTTAAAATTTTGCAAACCCTTCAGCAAAAAGGAAAGAAACCTGAAAAAAAAATTGCAAATCCATTACCCTAGTAAGCGTATTTCTAATAATGTTTCTTAGGAAATAGTCACAAATGTTCAAAAACATTTATTGCAGAATTGCTTATAGAGAGAAACAACTTAATATCCCAACAATAAGGGATCAGATAAACTAACCTCAATGCATCCAAACAACAGAATAATATGGCAACCATTTAAAATTATTTAATAAAATATTATTTAGTGACAGCTGTGCATATGAATGTAGTCATACTAGCATTATATTCAAATCCTGGTAGCTCTGGATCCTAACTGCCTAGCTGCAGAGCGTTATCACCTCCTTTGGAAAATCTCCCCAAGTTGTTGTTGAGAGACACCACAGGCACCTCTTGTGCTCAGAACAAGTCTGGCTGGCCCTCCTGTGGGACTGTGAGCTAATCAAGGAGGCACCTGCAGACAGGGCCATCCATCTGGTTTGTCGAGGACTGCACCACTGAGGGACTGCTGCCTGGCCCCCATCCCATATTGTCACTCAGTTCTAGCACTGACCTGATGCTGTGTTGGCCCTGGATCCCAACATGGGCCTCCTTGAGCTCAGAGTCTCCCCAGGCATTTTCTTAACTCCATTCAGGCAGTCTCTGCCCCATTTCCTCTTTCATCAGGGCCAAAATCCAATTCTTCAGGCCAGGCAGGGGTCTCCCCTCTTGTCCCATCTATGTGCTCCAGAAAAAAAAAAAATCTCCAAAGCTCTTTCTCTCCAAATACAACCACAAAAAAAGAAAGTCCCTCCACTCCTACAGAGACAACTGCTGGGGATGGGAAAGGAGGAAAACTAGGTCTAGCCTCAGAAGAATCAGCCAGTCCCAGCTCTGTCTCAGCCTGGACACACCCACAGGTAGAGACTGATGCAAATCAGCAAATATTGAACAAATAAAATGAGTCCATAAAAGCCTGGGATGACCCACACCAAAAGATGGCCTGTGTTTGTGTATTAGTCCATTTTCACTGTGTTTGTGTATAAGTCCGTTTTCATGTTGCTGATAAAGACATACCCAAGACTGGCCAATTTACAAAAGGAAGAGGTTTAATGGACTCACAGTTCCACGTGGCTGGGGAGGCCTCACAATCATGGCAGAAGGTGAAAGGCACATCTCACATGGCAGCAGACAAGAGAAGAGTGAGAGCCAAGCGAAAGGGTTTTCCCCTTATAAAACCATCAGATCTTGTGAGACTTACTCACCACCATGAGAACAGTGTGCGGGAATACTCCCGTACTGGGAGGAACCCAGTATCTCCCACTGGCTCCCTCTCACAACATGAGGGAATTATGGAAGCTGCAATTCGAGATGAGATTTGGGTGGGGACACAGCCAAACCATATCAGTTTGTCTCCTAGAGGAGAGATAATAAGCAACTTATATTTTTTGCTTATTTATCTGTTATTTTATAAAACAACCACACTTGAAATCTGTTACATATTTATTGTAACACAAAATAACAATTATAAAATATATGTAAGGCTAAAATAAAAAAGCCAAGTGGAACGGCTCACGCCTGTAATTTCAACATTTTATGAGGCTTGAAGCCAGGAGTTCGAGACCAGCCTGGCAACATAGCAAGTCCCCATCTCTAAAAAAATAAAAGGAAGTTTAAAAAAGAAAATAAATATATATAAATGAATAAGAATACCCATAACCCACCCATATACCAACCACCCAGCTGAACAAACTGAACTTGATCATTTTGGTGCCTTGTGTGATCCCCCTGATTCTAGTCCCTTCCCTTCCTAGAGCAGTAACCACAAACACCACCATCCTGAACTTTATTCTTCTCACTCCTTTGCCCTTCTTTGTAATTTTACTATACATATTTGTATCCCTAAACAGTAGTTTTGCGTGTCTTTTTATTTCCCATAAATAAAATCACGCTCTGTGTATTCTTCTGAGACCTGCTCTTTTCACTCAACGTTACATTCCTGAGATTTATTCACATGTAGCTGTAGATCGCTCATTCTCCGTGGGATGAACATACACAGTTTACTGATCCGTTCTACTGCAATGAGCATTTGGGTTGTATTCAGTAATGTGGCACGAACATTCTTACCTGTGCCTCCTGGAGCACGGGTCCAAGAGATTTTCTGTGTACTACTCCAAAGGCTCTCCGGGTCATAAGGTGTGGGCTTCTCAGACTTTTCTGGATAATGCCTAATTGTTTCTCATAATGGTGTGACAATTGACCCTCCCCCAGCAGTGTTCAAGCATCAAGGCTGGGATCCTTTTAGAAGTTCAGAATGAGGACTGTCTCCACCATGAAAGGCCTCCTAGGGTACATCTTCTCTGGCTGTTGGAGTTGCTATCAGGCACATAGAGTAATTAAATGGCACTTCTTTCCTAAGAATGCAAATGGCATTTTAGAATAACCTGAATCATATCCTAGTCTCCCATGTCATCTTCTATGGTTCTTGTTCTCTTTGGTCTCTCTGAGCCGTGTTCTTGGTAGAGCTCTTTGCTCTCTGGGGCCAGAAATGCCTCTCCAACGCACCGTGGGAGGAGTCCTGGGATAGACAACAGGAGATCAGGTCCATGGGCCAGTCCCTGCCCCCATGCACCATGTGGGCTTAGAGAGGTCAGCTCCTTTCCTGGGGCCTCTGCCTCCTCTGGGGTGAATGAAGCAAAGAGATCAGCTGGACAGTCTCGGAGGCTCCTTCCTTCAGACTGCACTACTAACTAAGTCTTCCCATTCCTCTGCAACTGCCTGATGAAGTCAGCCACAAAGTGAGAACCGCTGCCAGCCACATCCAGTACCTCACCAGGGGCCCCAGCCGACACACCACAAAAGCTGTCATTTCCTAGGGTCACATCTCTGTCTGGCCTTGGTCCAGGGACAAAAGCTGCATGGGATCCATGTAGTCCTCCTCCCTGCCCTCGTTCCCCTGAGCTGTCTCTTACCCAGAGCCATTGTATAGGGGCTCCCAATGAGAACCTTTTTTTTTTTTTTTTTGAGACAGAGTCTTGCTCTGTCACCCAGGCCTGTGTGCAATGGCACAATCTCAGGTCAATGGCACAATCTCAGCTCATGCAACCCCTGCCTCCCAGGCTCAAGCAGTTCTCATGCCTCAGCCTCCCAATAGCTGGGATTACAGGCGTTTGCCACCACACCTGCTAATTTTTTCATTTTTAGTAGAGACCAGGTCCTCACCATGTTAGTTAGCCAGGCTGATCTCAAACTCTGGCCTCAAGCTGATCTGTCCACCTCAGGCTCCTAAAGTGCTGAGATTACAGACATGAGCCACCGTGCTTGACCCAAATGAGAACCTTTGTGGCCTCCTTCTCTCTTTTTTCTTTCTTATTGTGTTTAAGGGTGGAATCACCATACCTGGATCTGAATCCTGGCTTATTCTGCCTTTTTGGACGTCTGATCTTGAATTAGTCATTTAACCTCTCTGAGCTTCAGCTTCCTAGTATATAAAATGACGACAATACCTGCCCGACAGATCTGTTTTGAGGCTTAAATGAGATCACATACCTGGAGCACTTCACATGGTGCTTGGCACATAGGACGTGCCCAGTGAATGGCAGCTACTAGTAAAACAGGCTCCCTTGGGACAGAGTATGGACCCCATCCGGGCACTAAAGTTAGCCAGAGCTAAGAGAATTCAGCTCTTCCTGATTTGCTCCTATTTACAGAGAAAGAATTTTTGCAAATGTCAGCCTGCTGTTCAGTATTGAAAAGAATGGAAAATGGTTTTACCCTGTTCTTAAGAGAAGGACAGAGCAGCCAGAGAGATGGCAGCAAAGACCAAAGGGAGGCCCACCTAGGGAGGCAGAGACACCTGAGGTCCACACACTGGCCCAGAGAGGTAGCACTGCAGCACCCCGTAAGAAAGCTTTCATGGATATGATGGGAGTTTTGTTTCCCAGAAATTCTCCTTGCACGTTTTGTGTCCCTCTCTTAATGCACTAGTGGCAATCAACCACCTATTGACTCAGTCTGTGTGTGTATGTGTGTGTGTGTACATGAACATACTTTGTGTGCCCTCGTCCTCATCTTATGTCAATCAGCTGAATGCAGAGATTGTGTTGGATTCATCCCTGGACCTGTTAGGAGACTAGTCCAGAGGTTTACATGAGAGCACTCATCAACTCTCATCAAGTGTGGATGGAACACCTATCTTGCTGTGGGCCTGGGGCTTGATAGGTGCTCAGAACAGCTCCTGGCCTTGGGGACTTCTCAGTCCAGTGGGGAAGGCAGGACCATAGTCAACTGTGAGAGCAGTCAGGGTAAAAGCATTCTAGAAGGAAGCCTCCGTCAGAGCAAAATCCTCTATCTCTAAGCAGGCAATTCCTTTTTACGAATGAGAGCTGTTGGGCCCCAGTGGGGGAAAAATAAATTTAAAAAGAGACCAGTAAGACTAAAAGAGGGTCTTTTCATCATGCATCCAGCATGGTGAGTTGGCTGGAGCAGATGCAGCATTGGCTACATGGAGAGGCTTAATGTGATGACTCTGGAGAAATGTGCTGGGGCCCACAGATCATACCAAAAACACAGGACTTCTGTAGGCAAAATGGAAAGCCAGTAAGGCTTTAATATGATAAGTCAGTGTTTTAGCACACTCTCTCTGGAGCTGTATGAAGGATAATTTGAAAATCAAATATATAAAAGAATAAAGCAGTAAAAATAAAAGGATTGGAAGATGAAGTTGAAGAAAGATTTCAAAAAAGAGTACAACAATTCAAAGGGAAAAAATTAAGAAAAAAAGATAAAATTAGAAGATCAATTCAGGAATTCTAATACATAAACTATAGAAGTTCTCAGAGAGATAAAAGAAAAAAAAAAAACAGAGGAAAGAAAGTCATCCAAGAAATAATTTAGGAAAATTTCCCAAAACTGAAAAGCATGAGTTTCTAGACTCAAAGTTCCATCAAGTATTCAATACAATGGATAAATATAAGTTTTCACCACAGCACAGCAAGATTAACTTTCAGATCTCTGGCAACAATGAGAAGAGCTCACAAGCTTCCTAATAAGAGGGGGAAAAAACAGGTAATATATAAGAGACTTAGGAAGCAGAATGGCATTGACTTATTTACATCACTGGAAACAAAATGATAATGTGAAAAGTTCATTTTCAAAAGAAAAAACTCACTCCTGAATTTTATATCCAACCAAATAATCAAGTATGATTTCCAGAAAGGCAAAATTTTTGTCTCCCATGGATTCTTCCTGAGAAGCCATTAGAGGATGTGCTCTAACAAAACAAAGTTGTAAACCAAAATAGATGGAGACTGAACAGGCAGGAAACTCTGACACAGGAGAGGAGGGAAGGGCATCCCTAGGAAGCTGATAAAGGGAGATCCCGGGATGAGACGAGGCCCGGGCACAGAATGCTGCCTGTTCTGAGGGCACCAGGTCAGAAGGCTGTCAGGGAAACTCTTCAGGACAATGAAATTGATAGAGCACCTGATGTGGGTGAAAATATTGGAATAGGCAATCAGTAAAGACTCTGGAGTTGAATTAGTGATAAGTACAGAGAAAGGCAAGCAAACAAAAGAACAAGATAGTTATTAGCTCCTAGGAAAATAAAAGTTATACAAGGAAGGAAAAATACAGTAGGCCACATGGAACTCTTCACCTCTTTAAACTATAAACATGCATACCTTTGACAAAATTTTAGAAAACAGTAAGTTTATTAACACATACACATTAGAGTTCTCCTGCCCCAACCCATGCTGCTTCCCCCAAAGTGCCCAGAGGGGATAAGCTGAACCCAAATATCTTCCTCTGTCCATCTCCAAGCAGGCAACTTCCCTTCAGGAATGGAAGCTATTTGTCCCCAGTGGGAGGGAAAAAAGAGAAAAATAAATCTGAGAAGAGACCTGTAAAATTAAAAGAGAGAAACCTGGTAATTAGTGCTTCAGACAGATAATAAATTCTGAATCTCACAAATAAGGCTTTACGAGTTGAGAGTATAATTGATACCCCAGCCTGGAGAGCCTATCAGATCACCTTAATCCCACTTTTTGTCTTGTGCATTTTAAATTATTCAGTTCCTTTGAAACCTAGAAATACTGCCTTTGTAGAATCAGACAGCTCACTCTACGGGGTGCCAATTTAGGATCTCCACAGTGGGTTCTGCCAGAGATGCTTGCCTTGGTCTGGAGATATGTATCCAGTCAAGCCACAGTGACAGGTGCCGGAGCTCAGGGCTGCTCTGTTCTGTTGGCATTCTGAGGACCCCTCCAACCTGGTGACTCCACCAGGAGACAGCCATCTGTAGGGTACCAGGAAGCATGAGACTGGTACCAGGATGCGGCAGTTGAAAGGCCCAGAATGCTGCAGGCTGCTCAGATCACACCCCCAAGGACCATGTCCAGCCCCAGCCACCATGTTCAGCAGGGAGCAGGTGCTAGTCACTGCAGGCTGGGTGCAGGACTTGGTACCCTCCATTCATGATGCCATTTGATCCTTACAACAGCCCTGTGAAATAAGTGATACTATCAGACCATTTCACAGATGAGGAAACTGAAGCTTAAAGAAGCAAAAACAAAAAAACAAAACAAAACAAAACAAAAAAAAAACAGCCTAAGACGCCACAGCTAACTAGCAGTAAAGCTGGGATTTTAATGCAAGTCTTCCTGACTTCAAAGTCCACTTTATTCTGTTGCGTTTGAGGACTTCCACTGAGCCAGATTCAGGGCTGGGCTGTGGAGATTTAAAGACTAAGATGAGATCTCTGTCCTTAAGGAGCATACCTTGTGTGGTAGTCAGGTACATAGACTGTTCCAACACACTGTAGTGAATTTCTTGATGGAAGGTCTGTGAGCAGAGACCCAGAGGAGAATGATCTGGGGATGAAAGGAATGTGTAAGCAGCTACTTTATGCTCCCTTATTGGGGCTAAGAAAGAACAGACTTCAGGGCACAGGAAGCTGTCCTCAAATCCCTGAAAGGCATGGTCATCTGAACAACCTCCAGGAATCCCACCAGACCCAGTGGAAGGCCAGTGGGCTCTCTGGGAAGAATGCTGGTAGCCTGAGCCAGAAAGGGCCTCTGCAAGAGCGCAAGGTCGCTGGCATAGCCAGATGTACATTGTCAGAAATGCAGCTCAGGGGATTCTTGCACTGGGAGAAGAGGACAAGAGCATTTGTTCTCTGTTCTGCTTGAGCCTCCCCTTCCCGGAACATCTATTACTGCTCTCAGCCAGCTCTAAAATTAGGAGGATAACAGCCCGTGCCCCACCTGGTGGCTGGAAAGACTAAATAAGGAAACCAGGGCTCAGAGAGATTTCACAATTTGCCCAAGGTCACACAGCATGTGAGCAGGGGACAGGGTCTCCTTCACTGCATGGTCTTCCTTTTAAACCAGTCACGTCATTGTTTTTTCCAGATGATCCCATTGTGGTATGATTCAGCTGTGCTCTAGGTACAGGGGTGGGAAGGTGGTGCTCAAGGCAAGGGAGAAAGAAGATTGGAGTCTGAGCTCTCTGCCTGGCAACTGATCCAGAATCATATCTCATCTATACATGCCGGCCCAGGCTTAAGCCAGCCCTGAGCTCAGAGAATTCTGCAGGCTGGTACTGCAGGAAGAAGGCTGGACTTGAATACAGAAGACATGATTTACACCTCACCTTTTCCACCTACTAACTCCGTGATCTTTCACATGGGTCTCAGTTGTGCACCTGCAGAATGGGCGTAATAATTCCCACTCTAAGAAACTGCCAGGGTTAGCTTACACTTCCAATGAACAATATGTGTGACAGCCCTCTATTGGCTAATGTACTTGATGAACATGAGAAGAGGAGGAGGGAACCATGGTGAATTGAAATCCTGCTATGCGTCATGTCACAGGCAGACCTGACATGAAAATTCACATGCAAGCATTATGAAATTGCTCCTGGGAGAACCCAGAAAGGGAGTGGGGAAAACAAGACAGGGAAGGGAAGAAGCCACGCAATGATACAATTACAGGTGAAGTCCCCACCAAGGCCTGATCCTGCAGGGAGCTCTACAGTGTAAATTCCATCTCTGAGTTTGCCCGCCTTGAAGGAAAAGAGCTGGGCTTTCATACTCCGGCCTCCTGATCATTGTCTGCAGGCCTTTCTGGGACACTTCTGGTTCTCAGTACCTTTGAGCAAAGCAACTGCAATAGCCTGCAGGTGTCTCAAGAAGGTTGCAACTGCAAGCTGTTAGGAGAGAAGCATGCAAGCGCTGGGGCAGGGATGCATGGAGCTCATAAAGGACATCCAAGAGGATCTGAGGGCATCACGGCAGAGAACTGGCAGCTTTCACTCTGCAGATCCTCAGAACACATGTTGTCATTTAATTAATATTCAACTCAATGAAGGGGTATTATTAGTCCCACTTGACTGATAGGAAACTAGGGCTCAGAAAAGTGGCTCATTCAAGGTCCCATGGTGCATCAGAGATCAATTCCATCTGCCTCCAAATTCATGCTCCCACCAGTGGTTTTACTGTACTGTCCCTCTGCTTCACTCTCCAGATCCCTTGGCACTGGTCACCTGGACCCTGCTCCCCTCAAGGGCTCCAGTCACTCTGCTTATTGCAACACTCCCATATAGGGACCACAGATCCATGGACTCTGACAGCAATGAAAATTTTCAATGCTGGTGCTTTCAGATTTTTAAAAGTAATGTCAAAGACACAGTGTGGATGCTGTGATGGTCAAGGTCCTCACTGACATGGAAGATGTGGAGACAGTGGTGTTGGTGGCAGAGAGGGTGGTGATCATAGTGGTAGTGAGGGTGGCAGTGATAGTTCTGAGGGTGTTGAGAGAGACAGTGATTAGATTAGTGTGGAGGTACCAGTGAAAGTACTGGGATGTGGAGGTAGTGGGAGGAGGGTGATGGTGGTGAAGATGGTGTTAGTTTGGCTGAGTGGAGTTAGTCATGGTAGTGGAGACTGTGGTGGTAGTGGTGGTAGAGGTGATGATAGTGGTGGTGGTGGAAGTAGCAGTGGAGGTGATGATGGTGATGGTGATAACAGCTGTGGGCAAGATATTATTAGCACAGTGGAGGTGATAGAAGTGATCATGGTAATAGATATGATGGCAGTGGGGGTGGAATTGGTGATAGTGATGGTCAGAGTGATGGTGGAGGTGATTAGAGTGGTGACGGTGGAGGTGATGATGGTGATGTGTTAATATTGGTTGTGGATGTATCAGCGTGATAGAAGTAGTGGAGGTGATGATGAGGGAGGTGAGAAGGGTGGTGGTAATGGAAATGATAATGATGGTGATGGTGGAGGTGATGACGATACTGACGTAATAATAATGATAATAATTGCAATGTGAGTATGGTGAAGGTGGTATTATGAGGGTGGAAACACTGTTTTGATAGTGTTAATGTTACTAGTGGTGATGACAATGACTGACCAGGAAGATGGCAGCTGTCAATCCTGCCTCCCCAGGTACCTGAGAAATACAGAGCCCTCTGCGGGACCAGGGCTGGAATGAGAACACAGCCCGCCATGATAAAGCCAAATCTGCCATGTACCACCTTCACCAGAGCGCCGGAAGTCTGCAGAGGGGGAAGAAGATAGCAGGGTGAGCTAGACAGCGGAGCGAGTCAGTCACACCATATTTCAGGAACAGCGTGTAGCTGCTTGTTAGCAGAGATCTGCTTTCCAACGGCAAATAATAAAATTATGCTTTTTGTGCGGCTAATGAAATGCAAATTGAAGCTGGATGCACATTAATGCAAAGAGTTGAATATCCATTTAATCAGCTCCTCCCTGCAGGGGCCAATGATAAAAATGACAGAGGAATTGCATTGCTAATTCCAGGCCTGTCACATCTTATACGTCCTTACCTTGTAAATCCACTACTCCTGGCTGGCACCTGCCTGAGGGGCCCAGGGTTTATGTTGATCAGGGTTCCGAAATTCTGGGAATCCCTTTAGGGGTGTGGACTAGGATGGGGCTGGGGGGAGCCTGAAGGGAAGAGAGTGAAAAGATTGGATCTTTCCTGTAGTCCCAAAATGAACTGTGGATACCCCTTCTGAGTGCCCCCACCAGGCCAGCCTCTGTCCTACAGGGATGAGTGGGGTGAAGGTCAGGCTATTTCTTCCTGTGTTAGAAATCAGAGCCCAGTGGTCTAATACTAACAGCTAACATGTAGCAACTGTTTACGTGATGTCCAATTCTGTGCTAAGTAATTCACCTGCATCCTTTCATTCAATCAGCACCCACGCGGTAGGAACAATTACTCCTGTTGGCAAGTGAGGAAACTAAGACTCAGAGGTGAAGTGCTTGCCACAGCCAGGAAGAGATCTGAACCCAGACAGTGTGAAAATGAAGTCCATATTCTTAACTAGCACATTATACTCTTTCTTCTGAGGAAAGTGGCACCCATGGAAATAATCCACAGCAGACCACCTGGGGCTCAGAGCCCAGTGATGAGGAGGAGCTCGGAGGAGGGAGAGGTGGACAGAAGGCCAGCTGAAAGAGGCGAGACCAGCTCTGGGAGTAAATGATGGCAAGTTCTGCCTAAATAGTAAGAGGGTAAGAGGCGCTGGATGTTGTGTCTGTTTGGTTCCCAGTCCTGCCCAAGCTGGCAATTTGCGGGTGGAGGAAGCAACCCAGCCCATCGGGAGGTGGCAGAGGGGAATCAGGCCAGACACTGAAGCCCACATCACAGGAAGTCTTGAATACAGGCTAAGGTAGGAGAACCTGACTATGCAGACGGGGCCAGCCATGCACTGGGTCAGCCCAGGAGAGAGACAATCCATGTTGACCTGCAAGTCAATGATTCCAGGGACAGAGATGAAGACAGATTCAAGGGGACAGGTCTGGGAGCAGGTGGAGCAGGGAGGGCTTGCTACAGAGGCAGTGGCAAGAGGTGATGAGCTGCAGGAGGGTCTGCCTCGGCACATCCCATCTGGGCCGCCACTCTCTCTTGCCAGAGGCATCCAAGGACAGCGAGAAAGCACTTGGGCCTTGGATCCTCTCCTCCTCCTTCTCCCAGCACACAAAGCAGCTTTGGTGGGCTCTGAGGGCCTTCAGTGTACTTGTTTAAGTAGAGCCAAATGACAGTGGCAAGAGGTTCTTAACCCTCCCTAATGGCTTCTCTGAAATAGGGGCAGGAGCAGGCATGCTGAGGAGTGACCCACTCTGCCTTCACAAAGCCTCAGCCATGACAACCTGTCTCAGGATTCTGATCCAACCCAACAGGTTCCTTCCAGCTATCATGCCGCTGCTCGGGCAGGAATAGCTTCTCTCTGATGGAACACACATGAGGAGATATGAGATCCCAGGTATGCTGTAAAGAAGAACCTCATCCTGCCAGCCCCACCAGCTAAAGGGGAGATGTCAGGTCCTCTGAGCCAGCCCCGCAGCCCACCCCTTCACAGACACACTGATGGCACTCACCTCAGGGAGTCACCATTTCTACCATTTATTGAGCACCTACTCTGTGCCAGACACTAAGCAGAGGGCTGCAGACTCAGCACTCCAATCAACTCATCTCAACCACAACTCTTTGAGGCAGGGACTATTATTGTCCCCATTTTGCAGCTATGAAAGCAGAGGTCTCCAAGCTTACCAAGAATGTGACTCTACTGACTCCAGAAGTCTGTGCTCCACCGTGCCATTCCCAGCCATGGGCATGGCCTGAGGTCAGCTAAGAAGAAGGGAGCACAGTCACTGTTCTCAAAGACCTTATGAATTTGGGGTGTATATCTTTCAAAAAGAGAGACTATCTCAGATGTCACACAGGTATCTTGTATCTTATAGCTTAAAACACCACTTAAAAAGCAAAGCACAAAGCAGTGTGTTCACTATGCTACCACTGGTGCAAAAGGAAGGAAACGAACATATGTGTTTGCTTTAAAGTAAACACATTCAAAAGAAACTCTTCAGGATGTAGGAAATTGATAGCAGTGTCTAGCTAAGAGGGAGGGAATGGACAGATGGGGCAGAAGGAGCATTTCACTCGACAATCCTCTCATTTTATTTTTATTTTCAAATATGTAAATATATCCACTATTAAAAAAAATCAGAGTTTTTAATTAAAAAATTAAATGTCCGCTCATGAATTTTACAGAAAAGGAGCCTGAAGCTCAGAAGGAATGGCTTGGGGCTGCGACTCACAGCTGGCCAGCCAGAGACTCAGGACAGGCCCTACCCATCCATCCCCTCATTCCACAAGCATTGGCTTTCCACCCCAGTGTCCACTGGGTCTCACACATAGAAGGTCTCAGTTCCATTACCACCACCCTCATCACCTCCATTGTCAACACCTCAGCTATTTCCACCATGTCGATACAATCATGGCCCAACCTTTGTTAACGCCATCACCAACATCACCTTCACCACTACCTCTACCACCACCCTAACATTTCTAGCACCACCCTGCCCATCATGACCTCCAATTCCACCACCACTGCCATCATAACTGTCACCATCATCACCTGCATCACCTCCAGCATGCCAGTACGACCTTGGCCAAGAGTTTGTCATTGATGTGCCTAAGAGCGATAAGACAGAGGTGGACATTGAGCTGCAAAACAACAAGATGAGGAATGGAGAAAAATGTTCACAAAAGTTTTGAGCCAGTGCTTCTCTACCAACATACATATTCTAGATCCTGGCTTGGGATGGGGTGTCATGAAGATGAATGAGACAAGCCTCCCCGCTCGTTAAGGGAAGTCAATATAAAACAGTACGTGTAAAAGAAGGGAGAAGTAACGTTGGGTCTCTCCAGTGGGGAAGAAACTTCAGAAAAAAGAGCAAGCTTTCTTTCACTGCATTTGTTCAAGACCAGGTCTACACCACGTAAGCAATCTACTACATACGTGAGCTGTAGATTCTAAAGCAACACCGTCCACTGGAACTTTCTGCAGTGATGGAAATATCCCATGCCTGTACTGTCTGACACATGTGTGGCTACTGAGTACCTGAAATGCATCTAGTGCAACTAAAGAACTGAGTGTTTAAATTTTTTAAGTTTTTATTCATTTAAATTTAAATAGCCACATGTGTCTCATGGCTACTGCATCAGACAGGGCAGCCTTAAAGTTTCTAGAAGAATAAGAGTGAGAAATGCTGCCAACACGCAGTAGTCACTTGGCTGTCACCAGAGGAAGAGATTTCTGAGGATTGAGGCTAGTCAAAGATAGAATGTTAGCACTGAGGAACTTCTAGACATCAAGCCAAGATTGGGGTCAAGCTGACCTCACCCACCCAGGACAATCATGGACCATCTGATTTCCCCAGAAGCCCAGGACAGCGGTTACCCCTGAAATCACCACTGAACCAAGTTTGGGGTGGCCTGAATTGTCTTTGTTTGGGGCTGTTTGTTTTGAGTGGTGTCATTATTTTATTTTTAAATTACCTATAATGCGCCCTTTAAAAATTCCCTAATTACAGATAGGATAAATACATAATTGCAGACTTTTAAAAAGCACATATTATTTACTCAATACTCCGTAATTACGGTCTTTTCCATGAAATGTATTATTTCCTGGATGGTCCATAATCGCTCCTTTGCAGCCGGCTGGGGAAGGCCGAATTGTTCCTCAGATTCAGTTCATGGGTCACTGGTCCCATCCCATCAGGCAGTTTATGAGCCACTACCACTGGCTGTCAGAGCCCAGCAGGCCCTCGCCGCAGGAAACACTGGGCTTGGTTACTGTACAGGCAGCTCGCTACCACCATGAGCACTGGTCTGGCTGAAGTCGAGTGGGGTTTGGGGTTTGAGGTTGGGGCTCTCCTGTTTCTTTCACAGTTCTTCCAACGACAAGAGGAGTGGCTTGTTGGTCATGAGCTCAGGCTCAAGTTTGGCTGGCCTGGTGTGTATCCCTGCGCCATCTCTTGCTAACCCTGCAATCTTGGACAAGGGCCTTAGTTTGGGTTATACCAGAAGCAGCCCCTGAGCCCAGGATTTGGGTGAAGTGATCCCGGGAAGTCCAGATGAGAACAAATGAAAATCAGACAAGGAAGACAGAAAAGCCACACTAATATGCACTTGTGAGCAGGTTACTGCCACACACACCTCAAGAGACTGCCGAACACAGCTAGGAATTGTCCCCTAATGGTGAGGAAGCTGGGGTGTTTATCCATCAACTCCCCTCCCCCACTTCCTGAGGGTTGTCACTCTGGGCATTAACTTCCCGGCACGCCCAGGCCACCTTGCACACAAGCAAGTCAGCCACTGTCCACCATGGCTACAGGTGACCTCCAAGAAGGACCAAAGGGTTGTGGGTGGGGCACCAATAGTATATGCCAAAGCACATCACTTACTCTCCCCCTGCCTCAGCTCTCTCGTCTTCAAATGAATATAAAAATAATATCTGCCTCCTAGATCATAGTGGGAGAAAGTCAGTTTGAATAAATAGAAGTTGTTATTTATGTGCACCACCACAGATAAGGACTTAGTTCAGCTCCTGGACGCTCTTACCCAGGCCTCCATCTGAGCCACCTTTCGCAGACTAGATGGCAGCCAGCACCAGACCAGAGAGGCTTTCAGGACTAGCCAAAAACTTGTATCAGGCCCTGCAGAGCAGAGCCTGGTATGATAGCAGATTCTTTGCTATGTGGCTGTGTCCCCACACCCCGTTACCCTGAGTCAGACATTACTAGGTGATTCACCATCCCACCCCCTCTTCCTCACTGCGGACCTCCAAGTTAGTCCAAGTACGAGTGGTTTCAGGAGGATGAAGCTTGGCCAGACTCGGGCAATCACAGTAATTCCATTCTCTTCTCCCCCAAGTAGTTAACCTAGGCATTTGACCCCTTTCCAGCCAATGAGGTGTCAAGAACACCACTGGAGAAAGTTTTTCTCTCCCCAAAAAGAAGAGATATTCTGTCTTCTGGCTCTGGACAGTGATGCTTGGTTCAGCTGCAATTTTCTTGAATGAGGAAGGCATAAAACTGAGGACAAAATCAACACATTGACAGTGGCAAAGTAGACAATGGAAAAAAAATCGATACCTTGTTTATATCACTGAACCCCAAAATTGATGAGCCTTGGAACAATCCCAACTCTGGTATAAATAGACAGCCAACACTAACATAGCATTTCCCCTGCGCCAGGCACTGTTCTAAGCATTTTGCATTTGGCAACCCATTTAATCCTCACCAGAGCCAAGTGAGCAAGGTACTATTGCTAGTCCCTTTTATAGATGTGAAAACTGAGGCCCAGAGAGGTTAATTAACTGGCCCAAGGTGATACAGCTAGCAATGATTTCACCTCAGGCAGTCTGGCTTTGAGCTCTAAGCTCTGCCTTAATCACTAAACTCTACTATCACTCTACTGTTCTTGTAACGTGCAAAATTAAACCTCCTTTTTATTTAAGTCATTCCAACTCGGTTTTTCCATTACATGCAGCTGGAAGTATCTTAATTGATACACCTTATTGAGATGAGCCACAAAACAGAATTTAAAATTAAAGGGGTCTGTAAAAGTCTCAAGCGTGCATCAAGAAAGTGGCATCCAGGAGCCCATGTCTCACTCCACTGGCAGAACCTTCCCCTTGTGATGTTAACATGCATGACCAGCCAGCTGTACTATGAGCCAAAACCTGTGCTCAGCATTTATGTAGACCATCTCATTTAATCCTCCAGCCAACCCTGCAAGGCAGGCACTGCCTCCCTAGCTTACAAATTAGGAGGTCATAATATTACTATCTAGTGTGTATTGAACTTTACTCTGTGCCAGCCTCCAGGCTAAGCACTTTCACGCCTTTCTCACCTAAACTTCACAACAATCCAATAAGGGCACCATCATCTTACAGATGAAGAAATCAAGGTTCAGAGAAGCTAAGTATCATGAGCAAGGTCACGAGATGATAGGGAGGGCAACTCGTTCCATCCTGCACACATGGACGTGTCCACACACAGCACATTGGCCCAGCCTTGTGCTATGGAGGAAGCAGAGACAGATGAGCCAAACCCACTCCATCTCCTTGCCCCAGCCATGAAGGGTAACACTCACCGTAAGCTGAAGCTGGCTGCCTCCTGCCTCAGCCCAGGGGTAGATGACCAGCTACCTGCCCACTCTTCCCCTGCAAGATGGCATTCCTGGAGCCCTGCCCATAAGCCTCCAATGACCAGCCATGAGTTAGGTGACTCCCACGACCAGACGTGCCTATTTCCTTGTGGTGCTGATGGCGGCCAGGCAGCACTGATAATGATCTCTCCTCTGCAGGGAGGTGAGCCGTGAACACCTCGCCAAATATCTTCCAGAAGTCCCCGGAGGGGTGCTGGGCAAGGAGGTTCTGCCTTCTCTCTGCATAAGTAAGAACAGGGCCAGGGGTCTCTAAGACCCCTCCCAGAGCTAACTGTCTGTGGGTGTGTGAACCCTGCACAGGGACAATCCAGCTCCAAGTCCCATTTCCAAATAAGCCCAGCCACTGAAGGCCCTCCTGACAATGAGGGGTGTGGGCTCTGGTGTAAGAGGCTGAGGTGCTGCCAGAGGGGCCAGCGTGGGGCATCAGGGGACCTGGGTTCATGCACCACAGCCACTCGCTCACTCACTGTGACCTTGAACCCCTATTAGGGCCTCCAAACACCTCAGTGTTGGACCAAATGGGTGTCGACGTTTAGTATAATATGAGATTGGTCTCCACAAACCCCCACGTAGAAGTACAGTGAACATAGCAGAACCCAAGCTGAAGCTGGGGGTAGGGGCAGCAGAGCCTCAGGGTCCATCCTCAGTCCCTCCACTCCCCTGAAACCCCTCATGTTCCTGGGGAGACTTTGGAGGAATACATCACCTCTGCCCTGTGTGCATGGCACGGCAGAGTGCCAGGGAGTTGACACACCCCAGGAACAGCCTTTACCAAGCAAGAGACAGGAACTGGTAAGTGCCTGCCTGGGCTCCCTCACCCCACAGTGGGGGCGATGGCGAGGTGTGTCCCATGCATCCTCTCAGGGACTCATGGCGGGGCTAAGCCTCAGTTGCCCACTAGCCCCTGGCAGCTATGGTGTGGCGGGTGACCTGGCTCCACAGGTCAGAGGCAGCTGCCTGGCAATTTTGAATCTGAGTTGAGGACATGCAGGTAAAAGAGGTTCCATTCTTGTGATGGCTGCAGCAGCTGCACAAACATCCTGTTTCCAAAGGCCACATGGCCTCAAGGCTGCAAAACTGTCCAGTGCCCCGGCCTGGCAGTGTCCTCCCAGAAAGCCTTGTGGCAAAATTGCAGCTGTGATCCTGCCTGCCATCCGGGCCCCCTGCCTCCTGCCTGAACCTGGTTCTTCGGGCTCCCAGCAATTCAGCGAGTACACGCTAACCTTTCACTAAACCGTCTACTTACATCAGCCACACTCCTTTTCTGTGGCTTAGAACTAAAACCCCAGCTGGTGGACACCCAGGGAACAATGCAAGAATGACCACAAGGTCCCCAGGTCTCTTTCCGGATCCAAGAATCCTGGATTCAAATCACAGTAAGAGGACAACTCTGGAGAGAGGCAAAGGGAGCTGCTGGGGTAAACTCAACCACGATCACAGGCTGACTCCGCTAAAAGGAAGCCCAGCCCTGCCTTCAGGGAACGCCCAGTCCAGGAGGGAGACAGGCATGAAGGCATATCATCCCACAACCCCAGGTGATGGCACAAAGCCAGAGGGAAGCTCGAAGCAGAGGAGAGGGCTGGGGTCAGGGATCAGGGAGGGCTGGCCAGAGAGATGATATCTGAGTGTGGCGAAGTGAAAAAGAAAAGAATAAAGGTGACGGAAACAGAGTGGGCCCAACGCTTCGCAGCCATGAGCAGACTTGCCCAGAGTCCATCGCAGGATAAACCACGAGCCAGTGCCTGCTCTGATGATAAACCTGGGGACAAACAGGGGTGCTCAGGAGGGACCACTGCTCTCTGGGAAGGTCCCCAAGTTTGTCTCTAGCTTATGGGAATTAAAAACATGTCCATTCTTGTGGGCAGGGCTGTGTAAATCTGCATACACACACGCAAACACACACACACACACACACACATGCCCCAAGGAAGGGCACAAAGGGAAAATGGCCATTTGCTGCAGACACGTCTTTGTAATGAGAATTGGCGGTTAGGACAGCACTCATCCCTGTCTTCGAGGTAGGAACTTCAGGGAAGATAAGATGCTCAGCCCAGGCCCAAGGCCACCTCTCTTAGGAACAAGGTTCCTTTCCCTTGTTACTGCTGCTGTCAACAGCAAAGACAGTGTGGGAGGACAGGGGAGTGCCAGCTTGTGAGGTGAGCCACTGGCCTTCCAGCCTCAGCTTTCCCAAACTGTTTGGATGACCTCAAGAGAGTCTCCTTCCCTATCTGGTCCTCAGTTTCCCCCATGTGTACAATGTGGAGGTTAGCCTAGATCTGCAATGGCAAAGAACTGTCATTTTGTATGCCAACTGTAATCAATTGCTAGCGACTGCCTGGAGCACTCAGATGAGAATAATTCTGAGCTTAGCAGAGACACAATTGATTAGTGATGTCTGCCATAGGCACAAGTAGGAGTGGAGGTGGCATGTGTGCTACTCCATCCTTTATCTTCTGAGTCTTGACACCATGTGGGTCTCTGACCTGACTCCTTGGGTTTACACTGGACTCCAACCTGCGGTGTGCTGGAGGCAGCTCACACCCACTCCTGAGAGTCAAGTGTGCTCATCTCTTCCCAACTCTGCATTTGGTGATGTCACATTGGTATTGTGGAATCGGTCACGATGGGGACGTTTACAGGGAACCGTTAAACATTTTTGAGCACACTAGCTCTATCCCTCCCACAGCAGGCCAGGGCGGGGGGAGAGGGGAATCCAGGCAGCCCCCAACAGTCCTGAGCTCTATGGGAATCCGTGTCCCCTGGAGAGTGGCCAGTGCCAGCAGATGCTGGAATCCAGACTGTTCTATCACAGACTCACAACCCCTGCAGCCCACTTTATTCACAATCCTCATCACTGCTCTTGCTGCACAGAGCCCCATTCAGACACTCTACCCCATCTACCCTGGCACCACTCATCCCTTCTTCCTCCAGGAAGCCTTCTGAGACTGCATTCACAATTATTCCTCCCCCACTGAGCTCCCATTTCACTCTGTCTTTGTTGGTGCTGGAAGGAAAACTGCCTCTTTAGAACAGGTTCTCGGTTGAAGACTTACATCTCCTCCTTCCCCAGCACCCAGTCAAGACCCCACATAGGCATGGTCCTTGAATAGACATCCAGGGAGAGGCCAGCTGCGTTATCCACCACCTGGGGCACAGTCCTGACATGCCCACGGTAATCATCCCAACCAGCTCCTCATTTCCCAGATGGGGAAATGGAGGCCCACAACAACATACAACTGCCTGAGCAGCTGAGCTGACTCTCGAACTGAGGTCTCCAGACTCCCATTGTGTCCACAGTTGGTTCCTTCCAGTGGGTTCTTGGTCTCGCTGACTTCAAGAATGAAGCCACAGACCTTTGCGATGAGTGTTACAGCTCTTAAAGGTAGCACAGACCCAAACAAAGAGCAGCAGAAAGATTCATTGTGAAGAGCAAAAGAACAAAGCTTCCGCAAGCTGCAAAGGGACTCTAGCAGGTTGCCGCTGATGGTGGGGGTGGTCAACTTTTATTCCCTTATTTGTCCCCGCCCACATCCTGCTGATTGGTCCATTTTACAGAGTGCTGATTGGTCCACCTTACAGAGTGCTGATTGGCCCATTTTACAGAGTGCTGATTGGTGCATTTACAATCCTTTAGCTAGACACAGAGTGCTGATTGATGCATTTTTTACAGAGTGCTGATTGGTGCATTTACAATCTTTTAGCTAGACACAGAGTGCTGATTGGTGCGTTTACAATCCTCTAGCTAGACAGAAAAGTTCTCCAAGTCCCCACTCCACCCAGGAAGTCCAGCTGGCTTCACCTCTCACCATCACACTGCCTCGGGCACCCTCCCACCACACTGCCTTGGTGCCCTATCACAGAAGCCAGAGGCTATGGAAACAGAGACTGAAGCCCACAGGGGACAAGGGAGCTACCCAAGGTCACAGAGCAGCCTGGGAGCAGAGCCAGGCAGAAACCCAGGTCTCAGCAACCCTCTACGCCAGCATCCTTGCCTTTCCCTTCACACCACCCTGACCTGCCAAACCAGGCCTTGACACCCCAGGGCAGGGCTCTGGGGCACAGCCTCCACCTTTCTCTCCACCTCCAGGGTTAGACAGCACCAAACTACAGGGTCACCCAGCAACCAGGGGGCCACTCTCTCCAGCAGGCTGCAAAGCCCGGGCTGCATTTGGGGCCATCTCCTCCCACCTCTCTTTCCTCCGGCTGCTGCTTAACATGCACACGGGAACCTCTAAGCTGAGCGTATAGATTTCTCTTTGTCTTTGGTGGTAATTATTAGCTGTCTCGGCGGGTGAATGCAGGCAGAAACAAAGGCAGCAAGGGTTGTAAAACCTTTTATCTCGATCAGGCCGCATTATTTGATAAGGTGCTAAGCTAATAGCAACGCATGTCAAATTGTGTTTAGACAGATCGAGGGGCTGGGAATGGAGGGTATATTTGTCTCCGGAAACCTGCACCTGGAAGGATAAAAAGAAAGGCGCACTGATATTCGCAGCCCCGGGCTGAATGCAGACAGCCAAGCCTCTGGGACTCCTGGCTGAAAGACTCCTGGAAAGGGGGCAAAATGAGAGGCTGAGAAGGGAGAGAGTGGGCCGGTACTGTGCTTATTCCCATTCAAGCCCACCTCGGGGCCCTTGCCTGGAGACCCACAGGTTCCCACCAAGGATAGCAGCAAAGGTAGATTCAAATCTGTGTTCCCTGGCTTTCTTACCTCAAGCATTTATTGAACCCCAAACGTGTAAATCTGTCATGTGCTTAACATTGACTGTTACCACCCACAGGATGTGTCATGACCCATATAGAATTAGTACCAAATCACGTGCAGCCTCAAGATGAGGCCCACAAGGCAGGAAAAGTCAAGGGAAGCTTCTTGGAGGAGGTAAGATTTCAATGGAGCCTTGTAGAATGGGAAGAGTTTAGAACAGGAACCTGGGAAGAAGCACCCATCAGCACTAAGCTCTAAGAGCCTCCCTATGAACTCCAGGTGGATACTCGCCTGTCTCCCTGCATCCTGCCATGTATTCCCTGTATTCTGCCTTTCCCAGTCCCTGTGAGGGAGCCTCATTCCAGAGCACATCCAAGGTTGGCCCCTCTGTACCTTCTGTGGAACGCAAGGCAAGATTAGAACAAGATGAGAAGGGGAGAATGCAGATGCCACAAAGTTATCAAAGCCCTACAACGATGCATGTCTTTTGAACCAGTGGCTTTATGTCTAGAATAGTTTCTAAAGCAATAATTTAAAATGTACACAGCCATTGAGCTAGAAGGATGTCCACCACAAGATTGTTTATAATAGTGAAAAAAAAGGAAACAACTTCAATGTCCAGCAATGCAGGATCTGTTGAGAGAAATATTTAGGACATTCACATGGAGCCATTAAAAAGTAACCACTGATCAGTTTTAGTTGAGCTTCTTTCCGGAGCAAACCCAGGACTCTAATGCAAGAAGATTCAAATTTGGAGAGATGAGTGGGGAGGAGTGGGGAAGTGAGACAAGGAAGGAGGGCAGCCAATAATGGGCATGTTTTCAAGCCAGCTACCACAGTGGAACTGGAGCCTGATCCCTCTGGGGAAGCACAGGGATCAATGTAAAACACTTGCCTCAAAGTTATCTCACCCGAGAGGTGAGGGAGCTGGGGCTTCTGTACACCAATCCCTTCAATCATTGGTTGAGGGCTGCTGGGGCTGGAACACAGACAACACCGGGTCCCCTGCATGCTCAGCCTGCCACAGGGCAGCCCCACAGGTCCCTGCAGCAAGAGAAACCAGACACAGGCACAAAGCACAGGTGCCAGCAGGTGGAATTGGGACCAGAAGAGCACTGAGTGGCAGGGCAAAGGGGATGTGGGTCGGGCACTGCCGCTGTCTGCTGCAATCTGTTTCCTACACCGCAGCCCTCCACAGCCAGGCTAAATGAAGACAAACTTGTTTCTTTACTTCAGGACACCTCTTGACATACTAATGGGCACTGGTGAATTTCCAAGAGCATTTCAGTGAATCTATTCGACTGTACATTGAATGTATTCAACCGTACACCTGCCCTGATTTTTTATCTCCCTAGGTGGACCTATCAGGGTCTCCCAGCACACAGCGCTGTCCTGAGCACAGTTTGGGAAATGCTGTCAGAGCTGCCTTCATATTAGCACAGAAAAGTGGAGAAGGCAGATTCTTACGGCAGTTGATCCAAGGTGCTCCCATTTTCTTAATGCGCATAAAACGAGAGTAACTAGCCATTTCTCATCTCGGCTTTGACCCTTGAGAAGCTTTCTCACCCAAGGAGGCACATATGAGAGCACTGAAAGGCAGTGTTGCAATCACACACGTGCGCGCGCGCACACACACACACACACACACACACACACACACAGTGGATGCAATCAAAAAGTCTATCACAAGGGAATGCCTAAATAAACTCTGATGTATGCATGCAAGGGAATTCTACCCAGCCGTTAGAGCAAATGAGTTAGAGCTCTAAACACTGACACTGAGAGGACCCCAAGACTAATAGGTGACAAAATCAAAGTGTAGAACAACACATGCAATATGCTACCATTTCTGTTGGGAAAAAAGCCCATCCAAACACACTAAAAATAAAACCACATATCTCTATATGATATGAATGTGTGTGTACACTTAAAAAAAGATCAGGAACGATATACATCAAATTAGAACTGTGATTACCTCTGCAGAAAAGGGAAGCTCGGTTGGGGAGGGAGAGAGGCGACTTTAGCTTGATCTGTATTGTTTGAATTTTTCTAACAAAAAATGTGTTCCTATATTACAGGTGTAATTAAAAATAAATGAAAATGTTTTACAGAAGAAAAAGGAAAAGCCTGGTGGTATATTCAGCAACATACCAAAATATTTACAGGGTTTATCTCTGAGTGCTGGGATTATGGGTGTTTTTAATTTTCTTGTTTGCTTATCTGTATTTTTAAATTTTCTACAAAGAGCATGCATTGTTTTTGTAATAAGAAGGGAAAAAACATAAAGTAATTTATAATTAAATATCCACTACACAACCTCCTTGTCTCCTGAGCTGGTTTGGACTTCGACTCTAGGCTTCCTAGACATTGCATTCCCAGTGGGATGCCCCAAGGACAGAGGGGGCTGACCCTCCTGAGGGCCAGCTCTGTTATTCCCTCTCTGTGTGACCTCAGGTCCTTAGATGCCTTGTCTGGGCCTGGCTTTCCTCCCCTACCCAACAACAATCCTAAGACCTGCCCTGTCTTCTCCACATGATGTCTGGGACACCCAGGAGACGACCACTGGGCTTTTTATGTAGCGCCCCATGCTTGTATGCAGGTCACAATTCTGATGGCCAGCAGAAGCAAGGGGAGCCTGACCAGAGCCATCGCCACCTGCCAAGTGCAAGGACCCCAGGCCCTGTCCAGGAGGCTGTGGGTCAGCTCCGGGAGCCAGCTGGAATTCAAAGTAGTCGGGCTGCTTGGAGAAACGTGCAAGATGCAAATCAGACACGTGAGTGGCGCCCGGCTGGAAGAACTGTGTCTCCCTCCAAGCGGGGCTCTGAGTGTCAGATTTTCCACTCTGTTTCTCTGTAGCATGTTCTGCACATCCCAGTGCTAAAAATAACTGTGGCGCGTGAGTGGGGGAGCAGCCCCAGAGAGGCTCCAAGAGCCACTGGGGCGGTTTGGCACGCCAACCTCCTTCCTCTGGGCAGTACATGCCCCAGCTGCAGAGGTTGGGGTCTGTTCCCCCAACACAAACCCCTCTCCCCTTTCCTCCCACCTCCTTCCCTGTGTCGAAATTCTTCCTCCCTTTGTGACCCCAGGGACCCAGAGAGCTGGCAGCTCTGGAAATTACAGGGATAGAAAAGCCCAAAAGAGGTCATCTTATCCACCTCTTGGGAGAACACAGTCACCCCTAAATCCTTAAGGACAACAGAGAAAGTCCTCTTAGTCTAAAACCAATCACTGAAATCCAATCTGGCAAATGGTCCACAGTCTCTGCTACTTGGAAAGTTATTCCTTGAGTCTAACTGGGACCTCTGCTGCTACAGCCAAAGCCCAGCTCCTGTTGTTCTCCCACTAGGGAGAGGAGAAAGAGAATCGCTAATCTCAAATTCAGATCAAACTGAACATAGAAGACATGTGTGGACCAGTGGCCTCTACTGTCCTGAGACCCTGGGACTCCCATACCACAGCAAGAAGGAGTTATGTGTTCCTCCCTACTGAGGGTGAAACTCCAGCTGAGCCAGCCTGTTGCCACATATCTATTCAACTTTGCTGGGCACCGTCTGCCCAGCATAAGACGCATTGCCAGTGCTTCTGCACCAGGCCTGGGGAGGAAGTCAGGAGACGCAGAAACCCAAGATGACACTTGCACCCTTAAAGAGCTTAGGGTTGAGTTTGGGACTCAGGTTCATGCCTGGAAAGAAAATTTACTTTGCACCCAACCAATGGCTGAGTGAGATGCAGCAGTCAGTGCACCGCCAAGGGGTGAGAGGTTGGGGGTGTCCCTGGAGAAACAGAGCTCTGAGATACATGACGGGAGTTGAGAGGTCTGAGCAAAAACAGGGAGGGTGAGACCATGGATTTTGTGGACACCAGGGACTACTGAGGGGAGGGCAAGGGCTCTGGATGTCCAAGAGAGGCACGGTGGAAAACAAGGTTGAGATCTGATGGTGAAGCCCTTTGGACGCCAAGAGGAGAGATTTGAACTTCATTCCTCAGGCCACATTTCTTAGATAATATTCCAAAATGGGGTATTAAATAATGATATCATGAAACAAAAGAAGGTGCATGGGGGTGTGGCATAATTAAATTTGGCAAACTGAGAAGGAAGGGACAAAGGAAGCCACGTTTCCCAAACTATTTGACCATGAAGCCCTTTCATCACAGAGATCCTCGTGGGACTGCCATTCTGGTTAACACACTCTAGGAAAAGGGTTTTGAAAAAGCCAGGAACATCATGGCATTATCGCTTTAGGACGTTGGTCTAAAGGGCTGCTGGAGGTCGTGGCAGCTGCAGTGCAGGGCAAGGTGAGACGGGGAGGAGAGGTGCAGGCAGTGGGCAGACCTGGAGGTGGAACAATGGCAGGCCCAGGACAGGCAGAGGGACCTGGAAGAGTCCGAAGAGCCACAGTGACGCTACATGGGACCATGTGCCTTTTCCAAGCCTCAGTTTCCCCTCCTGTGGAATGGGATGGCCTCTTTTCACAAGACAGTTGGGAGGACCCTTGAGTCTGTGTGAGTGGAAAAGTCTGGAAAGCTGGAAAGAGTCCGGAGCTCTTCTATCAACATTCAGAGGAATGGAGGCTGGCGATGGAGTGGTCGGATTAGGACAGAAAGACCAACGATGGATTCAGGAGAGAGCAAGCAGCATGAGGCTGGAAGCCCCCAGTACCTCTATTTCCCTTCTGCTGCCTCATATTTGCATTGTTTCTTCCTCTCCAGCCCCTCTGACCCTTCCTCCAACAATGCAGAGCCTCAGAGAAAACAGTGTGCAATTGGAGGGAGACTGCTTGTCTTCCAGGCCGGCTCCAGCAATGCCATGCTGTACATCTCTGAGCCAGTCCCTCGACTTCTCTGAGACTCAGTTTCCTCATCTGTGAAAGGAAGAGAAGGGCGATGATAGTAACAACGCATTTGAGGTCTCTCCAGGTGCTGGGCTGAGTTCTTGCTTTATGACAACTCAATGAAACAGGAACTATTACCACTCCTGTTCAACACGTGGAAACTGAGGTGCTGAGAAGTGAAGGGAGTTGCCCAGGGTGACACAGGGGGTGATGAAGCCAGGACAGGCCCACTGCAGATGGCTGTTGGGAGGGCTGGATGAAATGGTGGAGAAGAAACATTCTTAAGACTGGCATTTGCTTGTCATCTTATAATGCCATTAAGATGGTGTAGCAGATTGCACTTTCCAAAGATGCCCACCACACCATCACCCATCCCACAGGCTTTTTGGCAATATGACCTTCCCCTCCTCTATAAAGAAGTGGGTTCTATTTCTCTGCCCTCTTGAATTTGGGTGGGTCATGATGATTTTTTCCAAAAGAATAGGAGGAAGAGACCTTGTGCCAGTCCAAGCCTTAGCCCTTAACTAGCCTGACAGCCTCCACTGGCAGTGTCCTGGGAGCTAGCTGCTACATAAAAAGAATCACTACCCTGAGCCCACACTGCTGGGAGAGGCCCAAGCCACGTGGAGAGGCCCTGGAGGATGAGATGCTGCAAGAAGAGAGGCAAAGACCCCAAGAAGCCAGCCTTAGCCACCACATGAGAGACCCAGGTGAGTCCCAGACAACCCAGAGAGCAGAGCAAAAGAAGAAGACATTGCTCGAAGCCCCTCTCTTCTGGTATGGTTGTTACACAGCAGTAGAGAACCAGTCAGATGCGGCCCTCTTTCCACTTTCAGCTCTAAGGCAGAAGGTCGCCACAAAGAGATGAGGAAGAGGAAAGAAGAGGGGTGGAGGGGTGGAGTCAGGACTGCAAGGAGCTGAGGCAGGGAGCTGCCCTCTGCCTCTGCCTCTGCCTCTGGGCCCCAGCCTCGGAATCAGCCCAGCTTACAGCCCTCAGACAGTGGCCAGCCCATGACTTACGATGGGGCGCAGGTCAGGCTACCGGCCCCTCTGGGCTGCCATCTCCTCTCCAGTTACGTGGGGAGCTGTGGGCTGCCCTCCCCTCTCCTGTTATGTGGGGAGCTGTGGGCTGCCCTCCCCTCTCCTGTTATGTGGGGAGCTGTGGCCTGCCCTCCCCTCTCCTGTTATGTTGGGAGCTGGATGGAGTCGACGACCCCTGAGGGCCACTGCAGCTCTTGCATGCTGGATCTCCACTGCTGGGGGGCGGGGCAGGGGGGCGGTCATTCTGGCTGTGGTTCTATCCAGCAGAGCCAGGAAACACTAGGGCTGGTCAGACCCCAGAGCCCTCAGGACATCCCCACCCCTGGGTCTTCATACCCCTAGAGAGGCCAACACCACAGGCCTGAGGGCCAGCAAGTCCAGCCCAGCCAGACAGTGGAGCTGGAGAGCAGAAGGCCACACCTGCTGACTCTCACCCAGACACACTGTGGCCCTGAGCCTACTGGGCCCATGCCAGGACAGGCCCTTTACACAGAAGAGCCTATTTAATCCTCACAGTCATCCGGAGTGCCAGATAATGCTATTATCTCATTTCTCAGATGAAGAGTCTGAGGCTCAGAGACTTCAGCAAAATCACACCACTGCAGTGTGAAGCCAGAATTGAAACCTGGAGGCCTAATTCCATGACTCTCCCTCCCCTCCACTGTGCTTCCGCTGGTGGGTACATCCGCAGACACAAACACACCACCCTGCTCCCCACACAGCCCGACCTGCCCTGCTCGCTCACACACATACTTTCATGTGTGATGGTGCATACGTGTAGACACATCCCATGCTGGTACACACCAGTTCATACGGAAACCCACATTCACACAGGTTGTGTGTGTCGCACACAGACACTCCCATCCCTACACATGTAGACCCAGGCACCCAGGGCCCTGACATTTGCTCACACATACACCCCTACACTCCAGCCCCACAGGCTCAGGTGCAGACATCTGTGTGCATACATCCTCATCACACACGTACACACACAAACACTGCACCTTGTTTAATGATGCCCAGGAAATGAGAGTCATTATTTTTATTTTTTTAAAAAAAAGAGCCTCTCAAATGCCAATAGATTCCAGCATGTTTTTTCAGTGCTAAAAGGTTTTACAAGCAAAAGTCACCCAACAGTGCCACCTGCTGAAGGCTGGCTATTCTCTCCCGTCCTGCCTGTTCCATCCTTAGTAGGGTGAAACCTGTCCTCAGTTTCCCCCAAAGCGCTCAGGACTTGGGAGCTGGGTGGGGGAAGCTGGGGGAGAAAGTGGGTGCAGGTGGACAGAGGAGAGGTTATACCGAGGCAGGGGAACACATGGAGAAGGACTTCCAGAGCAGGCAAGGAGAGGAAGATGAAAGAGAGAGGCCTGCAGGGAGACAGAGAGGCCAGGCAGGGAGCTGAGAGAAAACCATGGGACTCAGAGAATAAGAGAGAGAGCACAGATAGAAAAGACTGGGAGGGAAAGTCTGGCATGCAGATGGGAGAGAGGGGAGGGAGGATGAAAGAGACCCGAGGAAGGACTAGAGGGGCAGCCAGAAATGGCGGAGAGCCCTCCCCAACGTCGGCCCCCTGGACCCACAAGGGGCACGAGCCTGGCAGCTGGCCCTCCCTCCCTCCAGGGGTGCCTCTACTGCAGGGGCCTGAGGCTGCAGTGTTTTCCTGGAGGTGGGGATGCCCCAATGCCCCCCTCAGCCCTCCAAAATGTTTGTCAAGCAGCCCCTGTCCCTAAGGGGCTCAGCTCCCCGCCACACACCCTGCCAGCAGGTCAGGATGAGGCAACTGTCAACAGGAAAGGGCTCTTACCTGAAGTATCTGGCTTCTTAGGTGCGAGTGACATCCAGAGAGAGGATTTGTTCAAGGCCACACAGAAAATTAGGAAGAGTCAGCCCTAGAAACTTCAGGGGCCCACGCACGGGCCTCCACCCCTGTGTCAACTGAGATGACAACCCTCTTCTTTCTTGATAGAATCATGGAGGAAAGAGAGATTTGAATCTGCATTCAGTGGTTCCAGACCACAGGAGAGTAGGGGATTAACCACAAGGCCCCAGGGGGAGACCGAGGCCACATTCTTGAGTCACCATGTCAGTACCCACCCCTCTGGAGTCAGGTGGATCAGAGCAGGACAATCATCAGTCCAAGAGAAAACCACTGACCTTCAACTCATGAGACATTGGCGCTGAAAGCTCCCACTGATCCCTTCCCGTGGGGACACTGAGCCTAGGGGAGTGGGGCATGCTGGGGTGAAGCAGAGGGCCTGAGCAGAGGGCATGAGAACCCCCCACCCTCCCAAGCCAGCTGCCCACACAAACCTCTTGACACTGATGGAGCCAACTCCTCAAAATCCTGAGGTCTGGGCTCCCTAGAAGGTGGCAACTTTGGGGGCTTCATCCTTCCCTTCTGAGGCCTAAATTCTGGTCCTCTTCTCTCTCCCAAGGGGACACTTCCTCCAACAGAAAGGACCCTGGCAGGGAAAGTCTTGGGGTAATTTTTCTTTTTTATGAAACCCCCTGATATCTCCCGTAGCTCAGCTGGAGTCACAAGGAGGCACCTCTCTCACCTTTGTAGAAACACACAGGGCTGCAGAAAGCTGGCTGACTACACAATGCAGAGCAGGTGCCGGCTTGCATCTCATTTACATATGTTTGCATATGCTTTCTTACTTCTCAAAATACCAGGAAACTATCCTCCATTCTCCATCCTATAGCTTCTTGGCATTTACAGTCTCTCCTGACTTACACGGGGTATCTCAATGCTGTGGACTTCCATTTGCTTAGCTAGAGAAGGACTTGGATTATAAATCCAACAGACTCTAAACTCCTTAAAAGCGGCATCCTGGTGCCAACCTGCCCCCTTCCCTCCTCCCAGGCCAGACCATTCACCCCCTCACTAAACATACCCTGTTCTTCTGTGCCAAAAAGAATTGGCTGATGCTGTTCCCCCTGCCTGAAAGACCCTTTCCTCTCCTTCTCTACCTGAAAAGCTCGTATTCAGACATCAAGACTCAGTTCAAATGGAACTTCTGCAAAACTACGGCATGTGAGTTTCTCTATTTTCTCCAGCACCTCCAAGCAGAACAATCACTTCTCAGTGGGCCCCAGCACTTTGGCTCATTAACAGCCAACAACTAAAGGGAAAATTTATTATACCACAAAATGATATTGAATAATACAGCACATGTATTTCCTCTTAGACTGTGAATTTGTTGAGGGCAGGAACCATGGGAGACGCAGCCATCACTGCATAGCCTATAGCTCCCAGCTCTGGGAAAATGACTGCGTAATCATTGTTTGATGAATGGATGAATGAATGATTCTCTCCATGGTCTTTATGCTCACAGATTCTGTGATTCTTCCTCCTTCATGGCTAGCTCAGACTAGGTTAAAGAGCAGTGATATTCTACTCAATATTTTACAACTTGAAATAACACAGACAGAGGGTCCATGTGGACCCTGTCTGCTTTCGAGCACCAGCGCTTCACAAACAAAACCCCAATCAGGTTCTGCAACCCCAGGTGGGGCCTTGGGCCCAGAGGTGAGGGAGGCAATGGGGCCAAGGCTGCTGTTTAGGAAACAAATAACCAAGTGGGGAAATTTACAGTCAGATAATTGGCAGCTCTGGTGCACAGTCAAATGCAGTAAATTAAGTGTTTTCCTGTAAATCAAGTTTATGATTTGCACTGGAGATGTAATTGTTAAAACTGTTCATTTTACCCGCAAATAGCAGTTGAAAGAAACCAATTTAGGAGTGACAGATTGGTTTTTGATTCTAACTGTAGTGCTAAAACAGTTAATTTTAATAACATCCTTTGGACAGGAGTCTGCTTGTTACTTAATATCATAGTCAACAATTTGAAAACTGCATGTTCAGCCACTGCTGCTTCCGCTAAAAATTAATCCCATTTTTCCCCTGAATGGAGGTATTTCTCAGCAGGAAGCAGTATGTCCATGCAGAAGGACTTTCCTCATTTACAGGGTTACAACCCTTCCACTCTGGGGAAGGGAGGCCACAAGAAGGTGAGGTATAGGCTAAAAGGAAACAGGTCCTGGAATGTTGAGGCCAATGGGGACCCTCCCTAATGTAGGAAACCCTTCAATGGCAAAGGGGATCACAATCTGAAGCTCCTGCCTGCACACTTCCATTGGCCAGGATGCCTCCTCTCCCCTGGGGTTCTACCCAGCTCTGAACCCTGAAACCATGTAGACATCAACTCTGAATAAACAGGACAGATTCTATCTTTCAGACTTGTCACCGTCCTCTTTCCCATCTCAGGACACACACCTGAGTCTGTCAACTTTCAAGTCTAGTCTATGGTGTCCAAGACTGGATCCATTACTTTTGTCACTCACCAGCTTGGATCCTAAGCACCCAGTGGGTTCACCGCTCCCAGGACCAGGATGCCACTGGATTATGGGAGCTCATAAACACTTTCAGCAGTTCACTGTGACCCCTGACAGGCTTCTAGTTCTGCTTCCAAATAGTCAGAGCTTCCCAAACATTAGCATGTATTAGAATTACCCGGACAACCTTCTCGTACAGATTGCTGGGCCCTACCTCCAGATTCTGATTTAGCAAGTCTGGGCAGAGCCAGGGAATTGGCATTTCTAGCAAGCTCTTAGGTGATGCTGATGCTGCCAGCCCACAAACCTGGCTTTGAGTAGCACTGATGTCGGAGATCTATGTTATTACCACCATCGCCACCCCACCATTGCAGAGGAGGAAGCTGGGGCCCAGGGGGGCAGGAAGTAGGACAAACAGCATCAGCAGCACAACCTCCTGGGCCTTCCTCCCATGCCCACTCTGGGAGACCCATCCTTTCCCAAGACATTGCTGGCAGGCTCCAGACTCCCAGCAAGGAAGATGTGTGAGTCAGCCCATTTACCCAGTTTTTGTTCAATTAATTTCAAGAGGTATTAAAAAGGAAAACTTTCGTAAAGAAAGGAAAAGCCTGTTCATTTTCATGGCCAGCACTTGGAGAAACAGTTCTTCTGGAGCCTAGGCAATCGTTTGTAGAGTCTATTATAAAGGGAAACCTAAATCACATTTATGGCTCATACTGTAAGGCAAATGTAGGTATTAAAATTGTTCCTTTTAAATGATAAACACCCGCTGAAATGGTGCAATAGAGCTGCATCAGAGACTGTTTTCACCCAAAAGAAACTGACTCAGGAAAGGCAGTAAATAGGGAATTTGACTGCAGTCCCCATAACTGCTGTTTACTGTAAGGAGTGGGGAGGAGGGGCCATGGAGAAAAATTAGCGCGTGGAGACCATGTTTGTTTTTAGCCACTTTAGCAACTTAACTTTGCATGGCTCTGTCTTCTCCCAGATCTGAGTGCAACAATTTCTCCCCGAAAGGGACATGGCTCCTTGTGGGGTGGGTATTTTTGGTTTCTTCTAGCCTGGTTTCAGATAGCTGGGCTTTCGTTTTACTGTGCATATCACAATCGTTGTGGTTTTGCTTTTGAGAGAGAAGTAATAGAAAAAATAGTTAATCACCCATTCATAATCTCTTAAACATTATTTTTAAGCTGATAGTAGCAAAACAAAATGCAATCTTTCTAACATCTTCAAGCAATTACTTGTCATTTTTCTGGTTTTCATAATAAAAGGAAATTAGTTTGGGGGAGGTGGAGTGGGGGACAAACTCCTGACTTTGAGTTTTGGGAAGATGAAGAACAGACTTAGAGTAAATCCTACCCGGGTTTTCCTGATGAAAATGAAAGCAGGAGCCAAGCAAGGGCAAGGGGTGCAATTGGGGGATGGGGCTTCTCCTGGCCCTACCCCTGACAATATGATATAATTCAGAGCTGCCTCTGCCTGAAGAAATTTGGGGAACATACAGACCTCTCTCATCTACCCCAACAAAGCTCAATAAATGAAGAGTCACAGCCAGAGCCAAATTTAGGTCCTCTGAGCATCCGCCATGAGGGATGAATTCACCGTGAGGGGTGAATCTACGGATGGATGGATGGATGGGTGGGTGGATGGATGGATGGATGGATGGGTGGATGGGTGGATGGGTGGATGGGTGGATGGGTGGGTGGGTGGGTGGATGTGTGGATGGATGAGTGGGTAGATGGATGGGTGGGTGGGCGTATGGGTGGATGGGTGGGTGGGTGGGCATATGGGTGGATAGGTGGGTGGATGGGTGGATGGATGGATGAAAATAACCACTGTTTCTTGAGATTTCTTCCATGCTGAGTAAGACGTCTCAAAGTCTAAGTGTGGAAGAACCAGTTTGTTTCATTTCCAATCAGTTTATTTTCCAATTTGTTGGAAATGCTTTCATGAAATAAGCTAAAATGTCACCATCTTGTCAAGCTGCTGTACAAGTATTCTCACTCTCCATTTCTATTATGACCAGTCTGCGGATGGCACCAGTCCTGGGCCCCACTTGGAACAGAACTGTTCTCAGGCTGGCTGCTAGGCACATCACACACATTCATTCACCGTCTTGCAGTCACTCTCTCAGATGGGTGCTTTTATACCCACTTTCTGGATGGGAAACCTGAGGCTCAGGGAGAGTTTGTGAGTTGCCCAAATTCCAAAGCTGATGGCTATAGAGCTAAACTTTAAATTCAGATCTCTTGGGCTCCAAACCTGTATAGTTTCCTGATGCTGGGCTCTAGAACCAGTCTCAAAGGACATGTAGTGGAGGGATGCCCTCCCAGTTGGAACCTAGGGAGGGTTCCTCCAAGGCCTCGGGTCAGGAGCTAGGAGGGGAAGGAGATGCTTGGTGGAGGTCAGGCACCCAAAAAAACAGAAGCAGGAGTGCAGTGGGAGGTTCAGAGAGCCATGGGCCAAGCTAGAGCTGGGCAGGGAGAGGAGATGGAGGGAGCCTGGCCCTGTGGCTACTCTCTGGGGAAGCAGGGTGAGAAGCAGCCCTTGGCCCAGAGCAGAATGATGAGAAAAGTCGGCCACCCAGCTCTCTGCACCTTGATCTTCACTCTAGAGCCTGGGCTTCCCATTTTGTAGAGCAGTGACTGGCATTTTTTAAAAAATGTAAATCTGCCAGAAGACACTCCCATCAGGGTATTTCTTCCTTTAAAAGAGTTTAAGGGACTAGAGGGGTCAGAGCACTCTCATTTCCTGCTGAGCTGCTTCTGTGAAGCTTTGAACACCAAGGATGGAGGGCACAGGGCCGGATGTTCAGAGAGGCCCAGAATGAAAGGGAGGATCAGACAGGGCCATGCCAGCTGCCGTAGCTGGGCCTGGCCGTGCTCTCTGGGGCCGTGCTCTCTGGGGCAAGGCTCACTTGGAGGTACAGAGGCCTCAAACTAGGCCCACATACAGAATCAGGCCTGGGAAATGAGAGTTAACATCTCACTGTGTGTCCTAGGGACCACCTGCCCAGCTCTGTCGTTCAAGATTCTATAGGGAGAGGCTCCACAGATCCTGAGAGCAGGGCCTTCCACTCCCACTCCCACGCCCACCCACATCCTGACACCCAGGAAATTGCCCTGGTCTGAAAGTCCAGAAATCACTCCCATTGTCTCATCTTAGAGTAGTTCCATAGGCAGTGAGGCTGCTCTGCCAGGCTCTATGCTGTGGTTGGGGTGAGGCCCCTCAGACCAGGCCTGGTACTAGAGTAGGTGAGACACAGGTGCCTTAAGAGAGGAAAGCCAGTGTTACGGGTGCCCAGAGGACTCTAACCCAGCTGGAGAGAGGGATGGTCAGGGACGGCTTCCTGGAGGAAGGTGGAGTGGGGGAAGCAGGCCTACCTGAAGCTAGCCTTTCCTAGGGGAAGGAGGAAGGGTTGCATTTTAGGTACACACACACACACACACACACACACACACACACACACTACCACCACCACCACAACCACCACAACTTTGAATGAAAGTCTCCTTTTTCTTCTCCTGGTGAAGAGAAAAAGAATAATTTTCATAACTTTTTGGAGCTGTAGACTAAGCCCTTTACTTCCCAAGTAGGGAAACTGAGGCTCAGAGAGATGAGGTGCTGCACCCACGGTCACACAGCAAGCAGGGCGTGGGGCCAGAAGTCTCCCCGCCACTGTGATTCAAGTTGTGCCTCCCCAGCCAGGCATTACCACGCAGAAGGGAGAGAAAGGCCTCTGGAGGAAGTGGAGGCACGGCTCCCCCTCCCCTGGCTGTTCCCAGGAGAGAAGGAGCTGGGGGAGCAGCCAGTCCTGCGTGGTCCCCAGGGAGCATATTTGCCAAGTGAGACAGCAGGGAGGCAGAGCAGAAGCAGCAGTCACAATATTAAGGTCCCTCACGGTAAACAGGAGCTCTGTTGTTCCAACATCCCCTGCCACTCACCTGCCCCTCCCAGAACCACCCCTGGTGGGGAGAAGGGCTCTACCTCCTCCCACTGGGCTCTCCTTCCCCCTCCAGAAATCCCAGCACATACATAGCTCCCTCCTCAAGAGCTGGCAGCTCTGAGGCCTCAGAGGTGGGAGGGAGATGGGTGGGCAGACTGGCTGGACTTTGGCATTGGGCCCAGCCGCTCTACCCAGGATACCCCACTTCCTTATCTGCTCTGTAGCCTTGGGAGAGTTGGTGACCACAGCAACAATAATAACAATAATGACAGCAAACACTCACACAGGCCTTAGGGGAAGCTGGGCACCCATCCTAAGCAATCTCAGATGTGGATTCACATGATCTCCACTACAACCCGGCCAAGCAAAGGCTGACAACATCCCCACTGCACAGAGGAGGACACTGAGGCTCAGAGAGGGGAAGATACTTGCCCCAGGTCACAGAGCTGGGGAGTGGCAGAGCTGGGAATTGAACCCAGGCATTTCTCCTCTCTTAGCCTTGGCTGTGAGGCTGGGGAGGTAAAGAGCCTGATCCAGACACTCTACACCCTCCGGGGTACTGAGGCAGGGAGAGACAGTCACAGCTGTGCCAGGAACAGAGAGAAGTGGAGGGCCCGGATGGTGGGGCAGCCTGCAGATGGGACCCTGCAGAGGAAGGGCCTGGGCTGTAGGGCACCCAGAGGAAAGAGCGTGAATCCAGAGGGATTCTGAGACACAGGCCAGGTCAGGGGGCAAACAGGGGGTCTCCGATTCAGAGCGACAGCGAGAGGGCATTTCAGGCACAAGTGACAGCAAAGGCTTGGAGATGGAATGTTCCATCGCACAGAATGCTTTATCTTTGGATAAAGCATTATCCAAATGAGGGCCAGGTGCTAGGATGCCAGGATGGGGGCAATGACGCTGAAGAGGTAATGAAAGTACTGGCCATACTTCCAGAACATGCACAGGGCAGGTGCTGGACAGGTACTGGGTAACCGGCACAGCGTTACCCAGCCCTCATCACAGACTAGGGTGGAGAATGGATTCTCACCCATCTTTCAGGGAGAAGCTCCAAGCTCAGAGAGGTGAGTGCCTCGCCCCAGGCCAGCTGCAGAGCTGGTCAGGGTAGAGCAGGGTTTGGGTCCAGGCGATCAAGCCCCAGTCCTGCTCTCTCTTCCGCACTATCCCATCCCCACACCAAGGGCAGCACCGAAGAACATAGGTTGGAGAAGCAGAAACCGAGGTGCAGAGGAAAGGAAGGGGCGAGGACAAGGGCACAGCAACATGAGGCCACACCAGGACTCAGTCCCTGCTCCGGCCTCCCATCTTGGGAAAAGGGGTAGGGCTCCCTAGAGGCCCACTGTGGTCCATGTGCCAGTGTGAGGTGATGGGGAGGGTGCGGGGAGCAGGCCAGTCACAAGCAGCTGGGCCCACTGTTAATGTCATTCCTGGGGTGATGATGAGTGATGCAAAGACCCAGGCAGTGGCTTGAAAAGATGATCCCATCCCTGCAGAACTGCCCCTGTAGGGAGAGAAAGGGTCCCTGTCCCATGTCAAGCAGGGAAGCTGTATCATTCATTCAGCTGACATTGTCTGAGGCCCTGCTCTGAGCTGGCCCTGGGCCCACCAGCTATGCAGCCTTATCCAAGCTCTTCCCCTCTCTGGGCTTCATGAAAGGGCTGGACCAGATCCTCTCATTGATGCATACATATGTGCATTCTCTCCTTCCTTCATTCATTCACCAAGGGCAATATGGACCACAAAACCCAGGCCCTACTCTCAAGATACCCAAGGCTCCCTTTCAGCACCAAGAGTTCAGGTTTCCCAGTGCACTGAATACAGCCCAGCCTGCAGGTCCAGAGACAGAGACCTGGGTTTCTGTTCTGCCTGCCCTTGACTTCCCACATGACCTTGTTTTATTCTCACATTCCACAGACATTTACTGCACGCCTATTACGTGCCAGTCCTGGGCCCTGGGGCAAGCGTTAGTCCACAGAACAGTCACAGGTCCTGCCTTCCAAGAGCCTTCGCTGACTGGGGAGACAGACTACACAAAAAGAAACAAGTAGCCTCCCTGCTGAACCTCAGTTTCCCCAACCTTACAGTGAAATAATGTCAGGTGGGGCTGATGAAGCATGTACTATGTGGCAGAACAAGATGACACCAGCAGCCAGTGACCCTCTATGCCTCTAACTTGATGTGGAACCTCAGGAAAGACCCTTCACTCCTCTGGACTGCGGTTTTCTTATCTGGCAAAATGCGCATGTTGCATTTCTGTATCCAGCTAAAAAATATGTCATCTATTCTTCATCACCTAAAAGCAAACATGGATTTGAGTACAGGAGGTCTGAACCCTGCCCACAAACTCTTTCATTGATCCCTCCAGTCTCATCTCAGCTGCTCATCTGTGATCCCCAAATCTGAGCCCTCACTACTCCCTCTGATCACTCCTGCCTCTGGACGTTCATGCATGCTGGTTTTCCCAGCCGGAATGCCCGTCCTTCAGCTCTTTTCTCTGCCTGGGTGATCCTTTAAGGTCCAGCTCCGAGGCAACCTCCTCAGTTAACTTTCCCAGCTCCCACTTTACCCCAGACAGAAAGAGATTCCTCCCTGGTGGTTGGTCAATTTGTTTTCGCTTATTTTGAAATAAAAGTTTTAAAAATGCCTATGATAAAAATTTTGAACTGTTCATAAAGATGTAAAATAAAAAGATCTCTCCTTCCAAACCTCTCTCAATAACAAAACTATCTCCTGCTAATATTTTGTGTTCTTCCAGAATATAAAGACATATATGTGCATATACAGTAATAATAACAGCCAAAGAGGTCTTATTCTGGCCCCAGCTCTTTTCATGCTCTCTCTATATATTAATGCATGAGATATCACAGCAACTCTATGATGAGACGCTATTATTAGTTCCAGTTTACAGCCTAGGTAATGACTCCCAGAGAGGTTAAGTGACTTGCCCAAGTCACACAGTGGGTAAGTGGCAGAGCCAGCGTTCACATCAACCCATGCTTTCACTTGTCTTTTATACACAAAATGTGTTCATACACACTGCTCTGCTCCTTGCTTTATTTTGCTGAAAATGCATCTCTGAATCTCTCCATATCAGCACATATCTCCATATCTGCCCCATTCTCTCCTAGAGCCGTTGGCATGGAAGCACCATGTCTCACATACTTACGCCCTTCTGATGGACATTTTGGGGTTTCTAGTTGCTGCTGCAAACAATTTTGTAACCCTCAGGCTTGCATCTGTATCCTGATGCACTTCTGCAAACTCATCTGTGGAATGTGGCCCTGGAATACCTGGGCCAAAGAGCATGAAATTTTCAAGTTTTGATAGATGTCGGGGGTGGGGGGCAGGTTTGCATTCTCACCAAGGCTGATGTGCCCATGGTGTGCGTACCCACTTCTAGGATGCCCAGGTTGGGTGTTGGCCCATCAGGGTCCCCTCCCCAAGCTGAGCTCACTCATGGAGGAGCTAGCACTTGTTCTCCTCCAGAACACATGGATGGAGCTGTGGAAGTGTTTGAAGGAAGATGAGGACCTTTTAAGGAGAACCATCTGGAGTCAGTTTCATGCAACAAATGGCAAGAATTTTTTTGGCACCTACTATATGCCCAGTTTTGGTATATAGGAGGCAGAGATCAACCAGTGTTCCCAAACTCAAGTGCCTGCTGGGGCCAGGCAGGTGGCACAGAGGAGAATAATATGGGCTACGTGAAGGGAGGCTGGGAGGGTGCCACAGCTCTGTGCCAGCCAAGAGCTGCCAGGCAAGAACGCGGGGTGGGGAGCCAAATCTGACCATTTTTCCAGAATGCCAGAAATCTGGATATTTAGGTGAATTTATCCTGACCACAGCCGAACACCTGGCACTTGAGGACTCCATAGTTATTAAATGAATAAAAGAAAGAATAAATAATTCCAGGCTGGGCAGGGTGGCCCATGCTTGTAACCCCAGTGCTTTGGAGGCTAAGGCAGGAGCATCACTTGAGGCCAGGAGTTCAAGACCAGCATGGGCAATATAGTGAAGTGACCCTGTCCATACAAAAATAAACAAATAAAATTAGCCAGGCATAGTGGTGCGCACCTCTAGCTCCCAGGTACTAGGGAGGCTGAGGCAAGAGGATCACTTGAGCCCAAGAGTCCAAGGCTACAGTGAGCTATGATAAGACCGCTGCACTCCAGCCTGGGCAACAGACTAAGACTCTGTCTCTTAAAAAAAAAATAAGTGAATTCAAAAAATCAACCTCAAAATATGGAGGAATATTCATCTTGTTTCCCCATCCTACCTTCAGTAACCTTCAAAAAAGCAAGGATCATACCTTACTCCAAATATGTGTCAATTATCCAAAATTACTTAACTGTAAGTATGTGTGATTAGTCTCCATGGTTCCATATTGCGGGTGATCAAGACTGATATGCACCACGGTGCCATGCCCAGGTTTGGACAGTGGGTTTGCTGATCCTTCCTCAAGCATCACCACCCCAGGAGACCTGGGGCAGAACAAAGAGTGCCTTCAAGGTTTACCTTCCAAAGGTGCAGCAAGAAGCCCTTGAGGCTGAGAGCCCAAGAGCAGGCAGGAGCTGGACAAGCTGGGGCAGAGAGAGGGCAGTGACAATTTGGACACACTCCAAGAGGAAATCACCTGGGCTGGGAGCAGGAGCACCCAGGGAGCCTGGAGCTCAGCCTCCATGGAGCTCCATGTCCCCAGGCAATGCTCTTTGGCTCTCAGTGCCTCAGTTTCCCCACCTATAAAGGGCATATTTACCATAACCATGTAAGTTATCAAACAAACCAAGAGCTATTTATATATTTAGGTTAAACCATATGAACTTGTTATTTGGTCCATCAAAAACATTTAAATATTGGCAGCAGCACTCAAACCAACCTCAGAATATCTCCAGGACATTGGGCATAAATCAGGACTATCCTGTACAATCCGAGACATGCAGTCACCCCATGGCCCGTGACCATGCCAACTGCTTTTCCCCACTTATTTGCAATCCAAAGCCCTCCTTCTGCCCCCCAGCCCCTCTGTCATTAGGCTGAGGTATAAAGATTAAGTTAATGGCGGGCGGAGAAAATCGGCTTTGTTGGCAAATTGTCTCTGATATTTATTTTGAACATTAAAACGAATCATTCGGACTAAAGAGGGCTCTAGTGCGTGGCCCATTAAAATGCATGCATTATGTATAACTCTCCCAGCTTCACCTCCAAGTATTATCAGCCTAAAAAGCAAACATGGTTTTTAAAGCCCCTTGTTTACGACATCCCATGACAGCTGATTAATGGCCACACTTTGGAGATCTGAAAGCTTAGTAACCCAAGCTAGAAAATTCAATCTTATTCTAATATAGATGGTTGGGGGGGCGGGAAGAGGAGGGGGGAGTGCAGCAAAATAGGAACAGAGCAGAGCTCTTCAAAACAGATCCAAGCAGAGAGCCATAATCACAGGAGCAGTATGAGCTGGGGCTTCTCACAGGGCATTGTCTGCGTTTCTTAGGGCTGCCACAGAAAATTACCACAAACTTAGTGGCTTAACACAACAGAAATGCAACCTCTTACAGCTCTGGAGGCCACAAGTCTGAAATCAAAGTGTCAGGAGCACCAGGCTCCCTCTGAACGCTCCAGGGGAGAACCGTTCTTTCCTCTTCCAGCTTCTGGGGGCTCCTGGAGATCCTTGGCTTGTGGCTACATCACTCAGATCTCTGCCTCTGTCTTCATTTCCCTTCCTCCTTGTGTCTCAGCATCTTTTCTGTTGCTTATGAGGACACTTGTCATTGGATTTAGGGACCAGCCTAATGCAGAATGATCTCACCTTGAGATCCTTACCTTAGTTGCATCTGCAAAAACCTTTATTCCAAATAAGGTCACATTCTGAGGTTCCAATAGACAGAACTTGTGAAGGGACTCCATTCAACCACCAACCTGCTGCAGGTTTCTTCCAGCTCCCAGCATGGCCCTCCTTTTCTTACGACAGTCTTGGGACCAACCAGGCCTGCAGATTCTACCGGATCCAAGGAAACTCAGCCATCTATTCACACTTGCGCATCCTCCCTGCCACCTCCTTAACTCTGGCTTCAGCCAACCTCAGCACTAATGTCTCTGCTGCGTCACTCACCCCCTTCCAGTGTGTCCCTTTTAAGGAGCCCATCTGGTCCTGTTGCTTCTCCTCTTGGCGACACAATTGCTACCATGGCATCTTACACTTCGCCTTCATAGCCTCTTGCAGCACTTCATTAGTAGAGTTCCTTGTTTTGTCAACACTTACATGTTGGACTGTTATGGCTAGCCTGACCAAATCCCTCCTGTAGCAGTTAAAAAACTCCACCCACCAGGCACAGCCCTGCATGATGGGTCCCGCCTCTCCATCTCAGCCTCCTCTCCTTCCCTCCTCTCCCCTGATCACTCAATGGGCTCCAGCCACAGCAGCCTCCTTCTATTCCTTCAGAATGCAAGCCCAGACCTACCTCAGGGCCTTTGCACATGCTGTTTGCTCCACTGGAAATGCTCTTTCTCCAAATCTTCCCCATCTGGCTTAGGTGCACCAAGCAGGACTCAGTTCAAATGGCACCTGCTGGGAGAGGCCTTTCCTGACCCTCTTTCCACCAGTCCCCAGACCAATCACTCTTCCCCTCTTTTGTTATCTTCATTGCAATTGTCACTGTCCCAGGTCATCTGGCACCTCTGGTTTCATTTTCATTTTGGTTTTGGTTGCTTTCTGATTTATTCTCTGTCCTCCCCAGCTAAAAAAGTAAGCTTTCTGAGGATAGGGACCTTGACTATCTCATTCTCTACTCTCTCCCCGTGGCCTAGGATGCTGCCCCATCACCTCTGCCATCTGTTGGATGAGCAATGAGTGTTTGTCTTCCACAAATTCTATAAACTCCATGACAGGATTAGTGTGATTAGTGTGTCTGTGTCCCTGGAGCCTTGCTCAGTTTCCAGGACAGAGCAAGCTCTTAATAAATTCACTGCCTGTAGCTCTCTCTGTGTTACAGGTGAGAAAGCACCCTTTGGAGAACTTCTAAGATCATCCAGGTTTTCATCTAAAGGCAGCACTGTCAGCTTCTCTCTCTCTCTTTCTCTCTCTCTCTCTCACAAATACACACACACACTCTCTTTCTCATACACACAGTCTCTCTCTGTCTCTCTCTCACACACACACAGTCTCTCTCTGTCTCACACACACACACTTCTCTCTCACACACACATACACACACTGTCTCTCAAAAACACACACACAAACACACACACATTCTCTCTCACACAAACACACATGCACACACAGTCTCTCACACACACACATACACAAACTGTCACTCACACACACACACATACACACATACACACACACATACTCTGTCTCTCTCTGTCTCTCTCTCTCTCCTTGGAAGTCCCCTACATTTATTCACATGTTCATTTTGCAACATTTACTGTGCGCTTGCTGTGACTCAGGCTCTACTCTGACCCTGGAGGTGCGATGCTGAGCAAGCCAGTGCAGCCCTACCCTTGCAGAGCTGACATCCTGGTGGAGACACCCCTTTTTGTCTGTACCTATCCTAAACCATCTCTGGCAGAGCAGCAAAACACATCCCTTTTCTAAGTCTTAGTTTCCTTACTGTCTGATGGGGGCAAAATCTAACCTATCAGGCTGGAAGCCCCAGGGCCAAATATGAGATCTGAGAAATTATTTTGGAAAGGAGAGGCCCCATAGTGTCTCTAGCCTGTCCCTTTTCCTAGTCCCCCTCTGCTCTCTGACTACACCCTCTCCTGTCTCTGCCCATGTCCTAGTGTCCCCATTAGATGAACAGACCTGAACTCAAACCCACCTCTGTGTGCGAACATAAAAAAAATCACCTAGCCTTGCAAAGCCTGCACTTCCTCGTCTGCAAGATGGAGATAATATTGTCTACACACCGGTGTGGGAAGGATAGAACGGGACATGCTTCATAAAGTTCCTGGCAGTCTCCAGGCACTCAGTCATGTTTCTGCTCCCCTGGAATACCCTCATTCCTCCAACTGCCTAATGCCTGCCCATCCCTCAAAGTCCAAGCCAAGTGCCTCTCTTGAGAAGCCCCCTGACCCCCTTCCTGGAGTCCCTCACATGCCCACCTTCTGTCCACACTGCCCAACCCTGTTAGCCACTCTCCGTTTTCCTCCAGGGCACACGTTTGGAGCAATAATCAGACCAGTCCTCAGCATCCCCTACAGTGCCTGATGCTGCTGGACATCACTGATGTGCCCCGGCAGGGGCTCAGACAGAATTTTGATTCACATTTGCTCCCTGACCACCTACTCCCACCAGGCACTGTGCCAGGTTCTGGGGGCACAGCAATGATGTGGTTTCCAAGCCAAAGGCACTCACATCTAGGAAAGACACAGACACACTAGCAAACCCCTCCCGTGCAGTGTTGCACAGGAGAAATTGGGAGGCCTTCCTAGAAGAGCAGAGCTTTCAAGGAGACTTTCTTGGCTGAGTGAAAACATTCACTGTATCAATGTGTTCCTGGAAAGGTTCACAGGGATTAGCGTTTCCACTGGCATCTACCGTCAGTCCACGAGTCCTTAATCCTGACTTCTTAATTGGTGACGGCTAGGTTCTGGTTGTCTGGTCCCTGGTTCTTGATCATGTAATTTAAGATTTGTAAACACACAAATGGGATGGAGTCAGAGACTGTTTACTTCTGGGACCCTTCGTGCCAGTAGGAGGGTTGCTGACCTGAGTCACCCCTTCCTTACTAGGTTTGTTTGAAAAACTAGAATTGTATTGCTTATATATTTTCCAAAACACTCAAAAGGCAGAATGTTTGTCTTGAAAGCTCTTTCTTATCCAGTAAGAAAATATTTTATCCACACATCAATGTCATTTTCCCCATTTGTTGGAGAGGAAGCTGAGACAGAGGGAGGACTGACGGGCCCAGGTTTCCCCAGTGGATCAGTGCTGGGCCAGGACTAGAACCAGGCGCCTGTTGTGCAGCCCAGGACTCTACCTGCATCCTCTGCCCTCACACCAGGGCCCCTGGGAGAGGAGGCATTGCTGTGGGTTTGTCTTAATCAACTCTTTCCTGCCTCCCTGAGAGGAAGGCCTTCTCCCTTCCCAGCCAGTGGGGAAGAGCAGCCCTTCCACCTTCTGAAGGCCAGGGAGGGAGGCGAGGTGGCGCTGAGGGATGAAAGCAGAGCTCCCAGGGAGGTCTGTGAACTGATGGAGGGTTGGTGCCACTGTGCTTGGGAGGCAGTCATTTAGCTTAATAACTGTGAATTGGGGGCTGCAGCCATGACACAGCCATCCCCGGCCCCCCACAGGGAGACTGCTGAGCTGAGCTCTTAGCAGGGCCACCCCTCCCAGGGTGCCCTTTGTGGGAAGAACAGCAATTGCCTGCTTTTGATGTCTGTTCTTATCTAGTCACTGGAGCCGCAGCCCTAACAGTCATCTCCTGGCGCCTGTCCCAAATGCAGGAGCCATTCCTACCACCCCTGCTGGTCCCTGCAGGCCCCAGGGTCTGTGTCGTCAGGATGTGCCACAGTGCTGGCCAAACTGGGTGCAGCTCCAGTGGTGCAGGCTCACATGCAATCTGCCCACCAGCAGAAGAATGACAGCAGCCAGGTGGTGAAACCAGGGCCCTGAGCATAAAACCCAACCTCCTGGGCTGGCACTCGAGATTTTGCCATTCTCCAACCCCAGCCTGGCTTCCAGCAGTCCTGGCTATGCTGTTCTCCTTGTCTAGAATGCCGCAGCCCTTACCCACTGCCATATCCAAGCCCTCTATCAAATCCCAGTCCTAGAGTCTGCCACCAGGAAGCCTTCCATGATTGCTCCAGGCCGCCAAGCTGTCCCTCTCCTGTGAATGGCAATAAAACTTTCTATCTGTCCCACTTACTTCAGACTTATGACATACATGTCTTATTCTCATTTCGTTAGTTATCTTTCATGTAGGCTCACTGAATGCTGACCTGGGCTGTAAGCTCCAGGGCAGCAGGGACTCTGTTTGATTCTCCTCTGAGACCCCAGGGCATTGCATATGTCTTATCACAAAGTGGTACTCCACATATATTTGCTGTTTGCCTCAATTGGGCAGATAGGCCCTGCCAATTTAAACTCAAAGGAGAAAGATTGTATAAATTCGTCCACAACTGAATTCTAGGATGTCTACAAAGAAATGCAGGTTATTTCTTTTGTGCACATGAACAGAGACTTACCTCATGCCTCTTTCTAGAATCCCCTACCCATTTTTCCACCTGGAGAACTCCTGATCTACCCTCAGTGCCCAGCTTGAACATGAGTCTCTCTGGGAAGCCTTCTTTGAATCCTCCAGGCTGACTCATCACGTCCTTTTTACGACCTACAGAAAAACCTGCATTTGAATTCTGTTATGGGCTGAATTGTGTTCACCCCAAAAGACGTGCAAATCCTAGCCCTGGTACCTGTGAATATGACCTTATTTGGAAATAGGGTTCTTGCACATGATCAAGTTAAGATGAGGCTGTTAGGGTGGCTTTAATCTAGTGTGACTGGTGTCCTCGGACTCAAAGACAGAAACACATAGAGGGGAGACAAGGTGAAGACAGAGAATGCCGTCTACAAGTCAAGGAGTGCCTAAGGCTACCAGAAGTCAGGGGAGAGGCATGGAACAGATTTTCTCTCAACCCTCAGGAGGAACTGAACCTTCTAACACTTAGATTTCTGACTTCTGGTTTTCAGAACAATGACACAATACATTCCTATTGTTTAAGCCTCCTAGTGTGTGGTACTTTTGTTATGGCAGCCTTAGCAAACTCATACAAATTCTGCATTTGCCTCTTACTAGCTGGTTGACCCTTGGCAAGCTACTTAAATCTCTGAGTCTCGGTCTCCTCTTTAAAACGGGCATGGCAAATCTCCTTCAAGCCCCCTTCTCTTTTCCCATCATCACACAACGAACCTACATTCCCAGCAACCCTTGCAGGTAGGTGTGGCCAGGTGGTTAAGTTCTGGCCCATAGACCATGGGGTAGAAGCCATGTACCCAGCCCAGCCCAGAAACTGTCCACACAGTCCTCCACACTCGCTCTCACTTCTTCATCTGCAGGCAGAGAACCATGTGGCCCTGGGAGGTGGCAGAGCTACAAGATAGAAAGAACCTGGGCCCCTGATTGACTGCAAGGAGGCTCCCCCTGTGGAGTACTATATTGAACTAGTTCATAAAATGCTGAGGTTTATGCAAAAGCTGTTAATATACTCTAATATAAATATTAGTCATGTAATAGTCTCATGAGCATCAGAAATGTTATGGTAGGCAGTTAATACCATGTTTTTAATATTTTTATATTTGAACTGCCCCACCACCTAACACAAACCAGCACAAAATAGGGTATGAAAAATGCTCACTGAATTTTTGTCAGTTAAAGAGCACTGCCATGGATGCAACTGGCTGGGGCTGGTGTGGCAGGCACTAAAGGAATTCACCAAGACAGTCATAGGTAAAGAAAGGCAAATTTATTAGAGAAAGGGTTGCAAGGGTGCAAAGGGCAGCACAGCAGAGAAGGGGCTGCCTGCAAAGGGGCTGGAGGGAAGTTTTATAAGGTTGTGCTGGAAAGGTTACATGTGGAACAGGGTTTTGGGAACAGGATGTTGTGCTAGCAGGTTGTTTTTGATGAGCTGTCTCCCAGAGCAATTGTTCTCCCCCACCTAGAATTCCTTCCTCCTTGTTGCTTTCTTATCTTGTCAGGATTTCACAAGCACTAGCATCAGAAGTTCTTGGTTGGTTCCAGCTCTGCCCCAATCTTAGGCCAAAGGTTTAACTCTTCCAGTCCTCAATTACTTTGCTTATAAAATGAAAGGGTTAAATAAGACCAAAAATCACATCCATGCTACAGCTCACTAATCAATGAAGGCTTGCTTTCCCCCCAGCCAGCCAAGACTGCCTCAGAATCCCTCTTAACACAAAGCCCTAGAGAGCCCCTCCCAGCCTGAGTTGGCCCTCTAGACAATACACATTAGCCATCTCTGAACACCGTAACCCAATTCTGGAACTAATCTGCCTCAATATCTACTCTGGAGGCAAGAACCTCAGTCTTCAAACTCAAGCTTACAGGAAGAATCCCATTTAGCCTTTTCCATAAATCATTGTAGCTTTGAATTCTGGAGCCCTCCTTCTGCAATGCTGCCTGGAAATGTAACCCTAGTGCATCACGGCCAGGTGCTCTTCCCCCCAGGCAAAAATTATGTGAAGGTCACGGAGTCTTACACAAAATGTAGGCTTTGGGAAGACCTCGGGTCCTCGAACCCCTCTGCTTACTTCAGAAACAATCACTGTTCCCAGCCTTAGTCTTTTTAGGTGCCCTGCACTCTACTTTTGTCCCACACTGGGGCTGGAAACCTTCAGGGTTACTGGAAATCACCGAGCCATTCCTCCTGGTTTGCTGCAGGGAAAGCTGGGGTCCCACTACTTACGAAACCTGCACCCATTGGAGACATCTCCAGGGGCCAGGAAGCACCTTTTCTCCCTATTCCTGTTTCCCTTGGAGCTCTCCCTCTCCCCTTCCTCCTTCTCCCACTTCCAGCATCATCCCCTCAGGGGTGGCTTTAGAAAGGAAAGCCAGGGAAAAAATTGACTTACGACAACTCCTCTTTCCTCTTGGCCACCAGCTACCCCTAGGTGAGAAAACTGGGAGCTGCTGCCTGATTTAAAAAAAAATATATATATATATATATACACACACACACACATATATATACATATATATATACACACACACACATATATATATGTATATGTATATCTGGGATTCAAAAAACATGCAGCCTCAAGCTGAGAAGATTTCTCTTTGGTAAAGGCGTTAAGTATTGTCAGGGCAAATGGGAACAGGCACATAGTTGCCCTTGGAGGTCGTCGCCTTTCTAATCAGTTTTACTTTTTTTCTATATTGATTGGGCAGAGTCTGTACTGAGCTTTGATGTCCCCCAAAATGCCAGTGAGAGTTAGAGCCAGGCATAGTTTGCCATGACGCTTTGTGCTAAGAGCCCTGGAGTCACATCACATGCAGGTGACCCAGTCATGTGGGAGATGTGTCACAGTCATTTCATATAAATGCTGATTATTGTAAATGACTTATTACTTTTACAACTGCCACTCCCATTCTGATATGCCCCCTTTAATGGGAGCAAAAGGAGTAGGGGTATTTCACAGCCATTCCTGGGCAAATTCCACAGGACCCAGTGAGAGAGACACAGAGGTCTTAAAGTCAAATGTCTCTCCGGCCCAGGTAGACTCCAGATGTGTGCAGCAGGTGGGGAGCCCAGGACTGGAGCACACTCACCTGTCCAAAGGGCACAGCCGCCACTCAGCCCCCTCAGCTCCAGGGTGCTTGCCGTCATTGGGGCTGGAGAGACTTCTCATTTTTCTAGAGAAAGTGAAAATTCTGAACTATTAGTATGCAATCTCTGGCTCGTAAAGTGTTGAAGTTTAAAACTTTAAACACTGTGAGATGAAAAAAAATTCATTTCGAGGTGGAATTTGACCCATGGGTTACCTGGATGGCCTCCACCAGCACCTAGGAAGCACTTCATGCAGGTGGAACTTCGCTGGTGCTGGTGCAGGGGTTTGGCTAACAGTTGTGGTGCTATGCATATGTGCATGGGTGTGTGAGGGGTAGTGGGAGGCTTGGGTGAGTTCAAATGGCAGGGTAAGAACAGGTGAGAGTGAGGGGTAATGTTCTTAAAGATGCTGGGTAAATGTCACCTCCTCTTTGAAGCCTCCCTGCAGCCTCCGCTGTCCCCTACTCCATCCTCAGGCAGAAGTAGTCCCTGCTCTGCACTGCCCTGCCCCCAGTATTTTGCATTAAAATTAGCCATTGATGTGTCTAAATATTACACAGGATGCCGAGGTTGGTAGATGGCATCATCTCTTACTGCGGGTCAGTGAACATGCTGAGGATGGCAAGAATGAACGAATGCATGAACAACTTCTCAATGGAGCATCCGCTAAAGGCAAGAGCCCTGCTTGCCTCTCTGCACACCTGATTCTGACTCCTACAACACAGCTAGGTGGGCACGACTATGCACAGGTCTGGGAAGCAATGCATTCCCCTTAGCCAGGCAGCCTTGCCCAGCCTTGACATGGTGAGACAGGTGGGACCAGGCCCTGCAGAGGCAGAACCACTTCTGATGGCACTGTGCAGTGGAACTCCCTAGGGGGCTAGGCTGAGGGCACTCTCTTCTCCCTTGGTTCTATTCCACTTGACAAGCATGCATCAAGCCTGCTTCCTGTATGAGTCCTCAAAGGCCGAGGAGCAGACACACCCAAAGGCCCGGGCAGCAGCACTTCTTGCCTTCCTGACTGGCTGTGCTGGGGGAGCGATGAGGAACAGAACACAGCTCATTGTCAGGCAGAATAAGAGCACTGATGTCCTCTCACCTCGACCCAGCCCTGCCAGCTACTGCTTTGGTGTTACCCCTAGGCAAGTGACTGAAGAGCTCTAGGCCTCAGCATTCTCATCTGCAAATTGGAAGTGATTTAGAACTTATTTCAAAAGGCTGATGTGAAGATGAAATCATACAGTGCTTGGCCCAGGCCTGGCACATAGTGGGTGCTCAATAAAAGGCAGTTAGGAGTTTCATTGATCTCACTCTTCACACATTGTTTTGTTTAATGGAGAAAGGCTGTGAAGTATCACTATTGCCCCATTTTAGAGTTGTGTTAACTGAGGTCAAGAGAGAGAGCCTGCCCCAGTTGCCCAGCTAGTGGTGGAAGGACCGGCGCTTCACCTCCCTTCTCCTGACCAGGAGTTCCATCCTCTGATGCTTATGGTCCACTCTCTTCCCCTCCTCCTAATGCTCCATGATGCACTGTCTCGTGTGGCTGCTGCATGCTCCCTGGGGGTCAGTCTGTCTTGCTTCTTTGCCAATTCTGCATCTATTCCCATGGTCACACCTCCCCAACTCCCTCTCTCCATGTTGTAGTCCAAGGAGTAGGCTTATGGAGTGGAGGGTGCAGTTGTATTCCACAGAGATTCACCGATGGGCCATGTAGACCTGAAGATGCCCAGATTCCAGCCTCAGAGAACTATTTTTTGATTTTGCTGTACATGAGAATCACCTGGAGGGTTTTTAAAAACACTGATTGGTGGACCCCACCCCCATGGTTTCTGATTCAGTAGATCTGGGGTGCAGCTGGAGAATTTGCACCCCTGGTGATTCTGATGCCACAGGTCTAGGTTAGAGCCAGTGGAAGAAATGGGCCCAAGATCTTTGAGTAATCAGACAAAGATGCAAACTCAAGTCATATCCCAGCAAAGGAAACAAACAGGAGGCTGAGACAGAGAATACCAAGGAGAGCATTCACTGCTCATAGGCTGGTCAGGGAAGGTGACAAGGGTGGGCAAAGCATTTCTGGCCGAGGGACCAGCACCTGCAAAAAGGCCTGAGGTAGGAAGAGTGTGGGCCCTTGGATGGAACAGTGGCCAGAATGTAGTAAGTGAGGAGAAGGGTGGGGAATCGGGGGTCAGAGGTAGTTGGGCCTTGGCTGTCTAGCTGGACAGCATTTCTGGCCTCCTGTGTACATGACTGAGGTCTGGAATGCCGGTGAGAGTGATGTCTGCTGCTTCCAATCTGGCACTTAAGAACGTCCTGGGTCCTTTTTCCCTCCCCACAGTGTGCACAAGAGAGATGAGGACAATGCCCTATGAGAAGATGGGAGAGAAATCAGAAAGAGGGCCCCTGGAAGACTGTGAGGGCCGGGACAGCCTGCAACCTGGACATTATTTTTCTAGCTACTGATTTGGCTGATTTTTGTCTCAGCAGCTGAGCTTACCATTGCTAATAAAGCCTGTTCACCTAGCCCTGGCCTTAAGTCCTATACGGGTCCTGGCTGGGGTCCTGGAATTCCAGCTGTTTCCTGTGTGGGACTGACTGCAGCCTCTGGAAATTCACATGGCCTCTCTAGGACTGGGATTTGCAAAGCGGTCTCCAGGATCGCTTAGAGCAGAGCCTCTCAAACCTTAGAGGGCAGGGCTCAGAACCACACAGAGATTTGTTCAAACAGATGGCTGCAAGAATCTATATTTCTTTTTTCTTTCTTTTTTTTTTTTTTTTTGGAGACAGAGTCTCATTCTGTACCTCAGGCTGGAGTGCAGTGGTGTGATCTTGGCTACCGCAACCTCTGCCTCCTGGGTTCAAGCAATTCTCCTGCCTCAGCCTCCTGAGTAGCTAGGATTACAGATATGCACCTCCACACCTGGCTAATTTTTGTATTTTCAGTAGAGATGGGGTTTCACCATGTTGGCCAGGCTGGTCTTGAACTCCTGACCTCAAGTGATCTGCCTGCCTCGGCCTCCCAAAGTGCTGGGCATGAGCCACCACATCTGGCCCAAGAATCTATATTTCTTACAAGCTCCCAGATGATTCTGATGTTGCTGGTCTAGAATGCCTTAAGAGCCACCATAGGCCAGATATGGTGGTTCATGCCTATAATCCCAATGCTTTGGGAGGCCAAGGCAGGAGGATTGCTTGAGGCCAGGAGTTTGGGACCAGCCTGGGCAACATAGTGAGTCCTTGCCTCTACAAAAAGCAAAAATGAATAAATAAATTAGCCAGGCATGGTGGCGTGCACTTGTAGTTCTAGCTACTCCAGAGGCTGAGGCAGGGGGATCGCTTGAGAACAGAAGTTCAAGCCTGCGGTGAGTTATGATCATGCCACTGCACTCCAGCCTGGGCAACACAGCAAGACCCTGTCTCAAAAAAGAAAAAGCCACTGTCTTATGTCATCTAGCCATAATGTCACTTAAACTCAGGGGGTAAACACCATATGTGTAGGCATGCCCTGCCTTGAAGGAGTCAGAAAAATTCACCAGATCTGAGATGTAAAAGGCTTAGATGAGGAAGGGGTGTGTCCCCCTCAGTCCCCTGCAGGAGAAAGACCACCATTAGGAAAGTTGGAAGTCCTGAATTCCACTTCTAACTTGACATATACTCAAAGTCCCTGAGCCTCAGTTTATGCATCTGTAGAATGGACGGATATGACACCTACTCTCTGTTCCTCACAGGATTATTATATGAGCCATACGGAAGTATCAGGAGGGCTGGGTGCCTCCACCAGTCCTGGAAGGAGAAGAAAAGCATAGTCCTTCTGAAAGCTCCAACATCCCTCTTGGACCTCAGTGGGGGCCTGTGTGCTGAGGATGGGGGAGCAAGAAGTCAGAAGGAGCCTGGGTCCCTGACACATGAACCGTCATTCCAGCCCTGGGCTCCACACCAACAGACTTCTTTACAGGAGGAAGAAATTAACTTTGATCTGGGGATGTTTGTTTCATGCATCTGAATCATATCCCTCCAGCTCTAGGCACTTCTCCAGGCTTCTACCCCCTCCATTTCATCTGAGAGCAGTTTGCCTTAGCTTTTCATTTAGTAAAGGTGAAAGATCATTGTGATTTTGATGGTTGTCTCAATGACTGGTATTGGACATGGCAGAAAACCCAGGTGGCTAATACGCTGAGAGCTGCTCACACCCACTGGGAAACTTTTAGTATGCTGGGAGAGGCTCCCTTCAAAGGGGGCTGGGAAGATGTAAGAGGGAGATGGTCAGCCTGCAAGGCTGAACGGTGAGCAAGGTCACCTCCCCCACTTCATCCAAGGCAGGGCTTCTCAATCCCACCACTACTGACATTTGGGGCTGGATGGTTCTCTGTGGTAGGGGCAGTCCTATGTACTTTAGAGGGTTTAGCAACATCCCCCAGGCCTCTACCAGCCAGATGCCGGTAGTACTTCCCCAGTTGTAACAATCAACAATGTCTCCAGACATTGCCATGTGTCCCCTAGGTGACAAAATCACCCCCTGTAGAGAATCACCACTCTAAAGTAGCAGTTCTCCCTGTAGCTTCACAATGAAATCACTAGGGAGCTTTAAAAATATTTACTGAGACCTGGGTCCCACATTTGAGATACTGACTTGATTGGTCAAGGGTGTGGCTGGGTATCGGGATTTTTTGAAGTGCACCAGGAAACTCTAGTGGGCAGCCAAGGCAAGAAGCGCTGCTCTTATTCTTCCTTGGTAGCCAGTTGTTGTGGTAGTGGAGAGAAGGCAAGCACTGGGAGGACTGTGATGTGCCGAGCCTAGAGATTCAATAGGCCCATGAGAGCCAGGGACAGGCTATCATCTATCCCCAGGATGTCAGCCTGCATTAGAACACAAAATAGTCTCCAATTCTGTGCGCCTGACCAGGCTCTGCCTTCTTCAAGTTCACCCAGGTCCCAGGGTTAATCCAACAGGACAAGGGTTCTAGTGAAAGTAACAAACCAACTTGGCCCTTCTTAGCCCATTTCCTCACCTTTGAAACAGGGAGCTGTTTTCAGGTGGTACCTCCAGGCCTTTCTCTGAGGCTCCCTGTCAGTGAAGGCACTTTGACAAGTGATTTTGACAAGTCATTGAAAATGAGTCCAAAGAGGCCCATTCTTCACCTGCCAGAAGCCCTCCCCAGTTGGTCTCTATAAGTCTTGAGCCAGACATGGCAGGCTCCATCTAGGCATGGCAATCTATATAGGGTTGGTATGGAAGACATCATGCCCAGCTGGAGCTGGCCAGGAGCCAGAGTACAACCATCATTTCCCCAGTTCATGGACTAGTGGGTCCAGGACCCACCCACAGGCTCCTGGAGGACTTAATGTGGCCTAGAAGTAAACAGGAAAAGGGCTGGACTCACTGGGTCAAGCACTAGGCAGGGTGCCCTGCCCTGTTGCCATGGAATCACAGTGTCCCCAGCCCAGACAGTTGACCTGGTCCAAGCCTTTGTAAATGCAGGAGCACGGACCAGTGCTGAGCCACTTGCATCCACACCACTACGGAGCTTGCTGAAGACAGTCCCAGGCCTCACCTCCAGAGATTCTGATTCTAAGCCTGGAGTAATGCCAGGGAATCTGATTTTTCAAACCCCCCAGGTGGTTCTGACACAAGGTCTAGGAAGAACCAAATCCTAATGCATCCTTCCCAGAGAGGAAATTCCCTGGCCTCATCATACCCAAAATGTCAGCAGCCTGTGCTTAGTCACTTTTTGGCCCGCCCAGATCTCTGTACCATACAGCATCTTATCTTCCCCGCTCATAAAAGCACTCACCATCAGGAAGCACTATAACATCTTTCTTGGCTCAGAGAGGGTAAGTGACTGGCTCTGGGGTTGCCCAGCAAAGTGGATGCAGAATGGGAACCAGAAGCTGGTCCTCTGCCTGCCTGGGCAGTGCCACTGCAATACAACCAGCACGGTTGGCACCTACTCTGTGCCAAGGCCCGCAGCAGCCTGGGAAGTGCGGGAGGCTGTTTGTGCAAACTGACAGCCTCTGATCCACGTAGGCGCCTGCCTCCAGCTCAGCCTCTAATAATAGCTCTTCCTCGGAATTCCTCCCATCTTGGTGGGAGCGGAATATTTAGACATATCAAAGATTCTCTCCCCTTCTTTCATCGGGCCAACAGTGACATGAAAGGAGTACAATGAAAAGACAGGTCTCTATGACAAGCTTCAGAGAGCAGCCAATTCCCTGACATCCCTCAAGCCTCCAATTGACTCCACACTGTCTGACGGGAGTCAGCGCGGTTACATAATAATAACACCTTCCATTTCCGTGGCGCTATTATGGGGCTTTCACCAGAGTGCTTTCACACGCGCTCGCTTATTGAGCCCACAAAGCAGCCGGGTGGCAGGCAGGGCAGCCATGCTTTGCCCGGTTTTACAAATGAGAGCATTATGGTGCGCAGAGGTTAAGTGACTTGCCTAAGGTCACACAGCAAGTTAGTCACTGATCATGGAGTCCTCTGTCAGGTGGGAGTCTCTAAATCATCTTCTCAGAAAGATAAAGAAGGGTCCTCCCTCGTCGGTGGGCCCACCTGTGCCCCAGCCTCCTCTCTCCTCTCAAATCCTCTTCTAACCCTGCTCTCCAATCATATAGAATTCTTCTTGGTGTCCCCAAACCTATGCTTTTAACACCTCTGTGTCTTTGCACCTTGTCCCCCCCACCTCTGCTTCCCCTCCTTCCTCCTCCTCTCTTCATGACCAGATTCTCTTTATTCTGTTGCACCACCACCTCCTCCAGGTAGCCTCCCCTGATGCCCACCTGACTGAGCCAGGCGCTCCCTTCTCTGTGCACACTTCTGTCCTGTATGGTACTGTATTACAGTCAGCAACCTTAGCAAATCCCTCATCTAAGAACACCCTGTACTAGTGAGTTCAGGCTGCCATAACAAGATGCCACAAACTGGGTGCTATAAACAATAGACATTTCTTTACCCCCCTCTGGAGGCTAGAAGTCCAAGATCAAGGTGCCACTGGGGTTGGTTCTGAAGTGGGCTCTCTGCCTGACTTGTGAACAGCCACCTTCTTGCTGTGTCCTCACATGGCCTTTGCTCTGTGTGCTCACAGAATGAGAGTGAGCTTTCTACTGTCTCTTCCTGTCCTCATAAGGACACCACCAGTCTTATCGGGTTAGGGCTCCACCCTTACAACCTCATTTACTAATTTTTAAGTAAAGTCACATTAGGGGTTAGGGCTTCAACATACAGATTTGGGGAGTGGATACAATTCAGTCTATAACACCCCTCAAAGGCAACGACTGGGTCTGGCTCTTTTCCAAGGAGGTGGTGTCTAGTCAAGACCTGGCCCACAGTGGGGCTGAATAAAGGTCCGATGCAGAAATCCCTTTTTACTAGTCCTTGATGTCACCCAACATCTCTCTGACACCCCTGACAATGGGGGGAGCTCACCATTTCATTACTGATCACTGTATCATGACCCTATGGGAAAGCAGAAGGAAGAATAGGTATTAAAAGGAGCAAGATTAAATGAAAAAATAAATAATAATAATAATAATAAAAGAAGGAATAGGTAAGAAAATGTAGGGCTGAGCGCAGTGGCTCACACCTGTAATTCCAGCATTTTGGGAGGCCAAGGTGGGAGGATCACTTGAGCCCAGGAGTTCAAGGCTATAGTGAATTATAATTATGCCACTGCTCTCTAGCATGGACAACAGAGCAAGAACTCAACTCAAAACAGAAAAGAAAATGTAGTAGGAAGGAAATTGTATTATCACCTTATAACATCTGCCCACAAAGCCTAGTTCGTCCTGCTGAAGCCATTGGAAAAGTTGTCTCATTCTTGTTATTTGAAAACAACGTCATTCTTCCCTGAGTCTTGGTGTTTCAAGCTCATCACTCCTGGATCACCCAACAGCCCAGCAAGTGCCCACCCCTTATCTGCATCCCTGTTCAAGCGAACCCATCCCAGATCTGTGTGTGGAGCTTAACAGAACCACCCACAAGCACCGCTCTGCAGGCCCTTCTTTCTCACTGCCTGGGACAAAAGGCAGGCCCTCTTAGGCTCTTGAGGTTTATAGCAAGGCCAGGCCTTGGAGATGATCTGTTCCCTCACATAGTGCCTGCCTACCACAAGGAATCATCTCAGATGCAGGTTCCTCCAGGAGGTGCTCCTGATTTCCCCTCAGTGCCCCCAACACCCCAGCACTCCCTTCTTGTGTATAGCACAAATCCCACACCAGTGTGCATTTTGCCAGTCACCTCCCTACCACCGGGGTCCCTTAAGGACAGAGTCAGTGCTGTGTTTCTCTCTAGGCCTCCAGCACCCAGCCCAATTGGAGGGTCTTCATCTGAGACACAAGGAGCCACAGTCCCTGCCACAGGAGTCTGTCCCCTGAGCAAGGACACAGGCCTGGCAGAATGGCCAGGAGGCCTGGGTGGGACCAGCCCCTGGGAGCTCACACGGGTGGCCCCCTGGCCTTTCCTCTCACCCCTAAACACGCTGTCCATGGGTCTCACCACTTACCCACGGCTGAATTTTAACAACTACTCCAAGAGATAATGGTTAATTTCACAGAGCTGTGAGTGGAGGCTGTTAAAATGTTAATATTATTTAAATTGTTTTACATTTTCGACAGTTTGAGCTGCAAATATAAATGTTTTCTGTGCTTTCCATGGAGCTGAGCTCACAAAAATGATTGATGAGGCACCCAATATGGAATTTCCCACTTTAAATTAAGAAACGCGACGTGAAGGCGATGAGAAAAATACTACCCTGCCATATGTGGTCCCCGTGGCCAAAACCTCAGCACAAGCCTCGGGCCAGGTCATTTGTCCCTCTGGTCCCTAGTGGCTGCGTGGCCCTGAGTTCCTCCGTTCACCTCCCTGGGCCTCCTGTCCTGTTCTGGAAACGGGGATCATACCTACCAGACCAAGGCACCCCAAAGTTTCCACAGTGGGCTTCAGTTAGCGGGCACTTACCGTGGCTGGCACTGGGTACTGGGTGTTTCCTCTGTACCACGTCCCCTGCCCTCCTGGCAACCATCTAGATATGTGCTACTTCATACCCATTTTACACAATGTGCCCATGGCCAGACATCCAGGAATTGGGGGTGCCTGACTGTCATTAAAGCCAGTACCTCCCGCACCTTAGTAGGTAACTAATAAATGGTGGTTCTTCCCCACATCCCACCTCTCTCACCCGCACCCACATTCCAAACCCTCTCTGGGCCTCTGCTTCCCCACGCAGGTAATCTCAGTGTGGCCCAGTTCTAACTTTGGCTCCATTCGAAGGAAGGATGAGCTAGTGGTGAAAGCCCGGGCTCCACATGCTGAGGCTAGCCCAGAGAGGCGTGGGGAATGTCTTGCCTCTGCCCCCACTTGTGTGCCTGGACTATAGCCCCAAGACTCACGGTCCTCCTGATTGCCATTGGCTCCATTCAAAGGAAGGATGAGCTAATGGTGAGAGCCCAGCCTTGGCATGCTGAGGCCAGCCCAGAGGAGCATGGGGAGTGTCTTGCCCCTGCCTCCTCTTGTGTGCCTAGACTATAGCCTCAGGACTCACAGTCCTCCTGATTGCAGAGCCAGGTCAGCCCCACATGCTGTCTCAGAGAAGCTTGCAGCCTGACCCTGGCCTCAAGCCCCAGAGGGAGCCCCACCTTATCCTCCTCTGTGCCTAGCACAGGGCTGGGCACTGCCCAGGTATTATCTCCAGGGCCTCTCAGGACAAATTCTCAGTAAAGGAGTTGTCATTATACCCATGTTGCATGCAAGCAAACTGAGGCAGGCAGAGGCCACACAGCTTGTAAGCACTGGGGTCAGTTAAACTCCAAACACCACATCACCTCCCCACTGCTAGGTTGCCACCTGCGTCTGAGTCCCCGACCCTTGTTGCACCTTGGGGGATTCCAGTCTTAGCCGTATCAGGCATCATTCATTCATTCATCATGCAGCCATCCATTCCTGGAGGGCCTGCTGTGGAGCAGCCCCCATGTTACTCTAGGGGAGCAGTGGGGAAGGGGGCACATTCGCTGCCCTCCTGGAACTGATGATCAATAGAGGGTGACAGACAAGCAGGGAAGCAAATGGGACAGTGCGGTTTGTGCTGGTTGGGATGAAGCACATAAAGGTTATCAGGGAGGACTCCCTGGAAGAAAGGTGCTCTGCATTGGAGTTTGAACGATAAGCAGAAATTCACCAGCCAAGGAGCAGCGGATGGCTCTCCTGCAGCGAGCACAGCACAGCCGAGACCCCAGCATGAGCATGGGGGCAGCCAGCAAGGGACGGGCAGGAGGGTCCTGGGGAGGTCAGGCTGAGTGCACAATGTGGGCTCCATCCCATGTGAGGCAGTCAGGTTGAGTTTTAAGTGGAAGAACCAGAGGGCAGACATGGGTTCTAGAACAATCCCTCTGGCTACAGTGGGGAGAAGAAATTGGCAAGGTGAGGCCAGAGACCAGCAGGAGGCTGGGGCAGTCCCCCACGAGAGGGGCCATGATATGGAAGGAAAGGGGGTGAGATTGTGAATTCAGGAACATCTAGCTGGGAGAACCAAAGAGACTGGCCTCTGATTGAATGGGGTCCCCAGGGAGAAGGGGGAGCCCGGAAAACTTGGTCAGGCTGCAGTAACCGGGTGGAGGGAAGGACAGAGTGCCTTGGACTACCCATGGACCGCTGTCCTGCAACTCACCCTGTGCTGGGGTCCCCCAACCTGCTCTGGCCGGGGCTGACCTCCACGGGTCACTAATCACTAAATGCACTGTGCTGCTCTGGCCCCATCCCACTGTGCAGTACCTGATCTGCTCCACCCCATCGAGGAATGCAGAAGGGCGGAGGGGGCTCTCAACTCATATCCCTGGGCTCAGTGCGGCCCTAGCTCCTTCAGAGTGACTATGGCCCTCTTTGATGTCAGGTTCCACATCTACTGAACGATAACAGCCACACCTATCAGCGATCATGGGGTTCAATGAGATAAAATCTGTAATGTGCTGAGGTCTGCCTGGGCACACTGACATTCAATACATGGTGCTCTTACTAGCATCACAGCCATGGCTGGGTGTTGCCCCTCTCCTCTCTCTTCCCTGGAGCCAGGGAATGCAGGCTGAGGCCGAACCCCCTCTGTGAGCAGGGCAGGGAGGCAGGCGGAGGGGGATGGCCTGATGGATGGTTTTCGGCAGTTCTGTGATGCATCAAATGTTTAATGGAAGTCAGCCGAGTGAGCCAGCCCTTCCTGCACCACGGGGCACGGGTTTGGGGGCATTCGTCTCCCGCTTCACTGATGTTTGCTGATGTTCCCTGACGTTCCGGGAGCGCAGAAGGCACTTACGTGCTTTACTAAGGAGGGAGGGAATACCAAATGAAGCTGAGACCTCCTTTCCTGGTCTCAGCAAGGACGCACACGCTCCTTCAGGAAAGGAGAAGGAAACTGGGCCAACCTTCCCCAAAGATAAGAGGTCAGAAAGGAGCTCAATGCTGGTGGCCTGTGGGCTCTACCTCTTCCTGGCAGTGTGACCTCGGGCAAGGTTCAAGACTACTCCAGGCCTCAGCTTCTTCGTCTCTAAAATGGGGATAGCAATGCTCCCTACTTGACAGGCTTGTCTTAGGACTAACTGTGGAAACCCATTCCAAGACTTAGAACAGTGCCTGGTGCACAGTAGGTGCTCATCAGAGCTAGCTGTCATAACGGGAGAAAGAGACAGGAGGCACAGGGTGGGGTCCTGCCCTGCTGCTGATCCACGGTGTGGCTGAGTGAGCACCCTGCCCTTGCCCCTGAGGGTCTTGGTCTCTAGGATGCTTCCAGGGCTGCATAGCTCTGCTCTTCAGTTCTGCTCCGCTCTAGCCAGATTCATCCTCTGACCAGCAAGGACGTCAGATGGGTGCAAAGCAACCAAGAAAGGAGTGGCAGGGTTCCGCCACCTCCCATCCTTCTCCCCTCCTTCTCCCCAGCATAGCGCCTCACCTCCCCTCCCCTCCCTGCAGACTGGCTTCCCCAGCCCTCCCTCTCTGCTCGTTCTTACCTCCAAGCCTCTCCTCTCTGCTCTCCTTCATTCCTCCGCTCTCCAAATCCTTCCCACTGCTCAAGCCCAGTTCAAGCCACACCTCCTCCAGGCAGCCTTCCAGCTCAAACGGACACTCCCCTTCCCAGCCTCTCACAGGATATCACCTCTCACAGGCGGTCATCAGCACCATAGATTTTGAAGGGAGCAAGATAGAGTGGGGCAGAATTGGGCAGAACAGGACAGGGCAAGGAGGGGCGGGGCTACTGACCAGAAATGACATGCCAGAACCTGAGCAGTGGGCCATGTTCCCCGAAGTTGTGAGTGAGACGGAGTGTGCCATCATCACAGTAGAATCGTATCCATCCTGTATGGGGCACAGTCCACCTGTCAGGCACGGTCCACATTCAGCTCACCTGGTCCTTACAACCCATTTTGCAAGTGATAAACACTGAGGCCTCAGGTGAGTGAGCTGCACATAGATTAAAAGCTAGCACGTGGCAAACGAGCTTTCTCAGGATTCCCACAGTGGTCAGCACAGGCTCTCAAGCCTCCCTCTCCAGAATGCCTAGAAACATGGCTGGTGCCGGAGGCAGACCGTGAGCTCAGGCAGGGGAGGGTCAGTCAAGGCTATCGCCCCCACTTCTTGCTGGGCCGGTTTTCGTCAGGGGAATTTCACCCACTGGGTCTTAACAGCCACTTGGCCTCTGACAAAAAAATGCTGTGGCAATGACTTCAGTACTCAAAACAATGTTTCCAAAAGAGAGATAGACAATGCTTTGTGCCCCTTCTTCCCCCTTCACAACTTTACAGGGCATTGCCTGCTATCGGATGGTTTTCTGAAAACCCACAGACCTCTCCCACCTCCTCCGCATAGAGCACCGACAGGTGCGGCATGGGTTCACCACTCAAGCAGTCGACAGCCTGGATTTCTAACGGCCAACTTCAATTCTCTCCCCTCCCTCTCTAGCACCTCTCTTTCCCCCAGTAAGTCATCCTAAGCTGGCTGTCCTGATAAACCGGGGGCTTGGGGACTTTCTTCAAGTGCCTTGTAAATGGAAGCATCTCAGACTAACAGCTCTGGGTGTTCAATGAGATTATATTTCTTATTTAAATAGCTGATTGGAGAATTGGTTTCAAAGTAAGATGCTGTACACCCATGGCCTCCTCTGGGCTCCTGGAGAGAAGCAATATTGTGTGGCATTGTGCAGCGGCAGGAGCCTCTCCTTCCAAGCTCCCCACTCCCATTCAGATGCCTCCAGGACGGGGGGAGCGGGCCGCGGTGGGGGATGAAAGCTGCCTCCCCTCCTGGTTTGGGGGAGCCGGAGATTATGCCTTTCATTCAAGAGTGCCTTCTCCAGGGCTCCCCACCATGCTCTGTACCAGTTGTCTTCCCCTCTCAAAGCGACGGGGAGATAAAAGGCAATGTGTTCGCTTCATCCCACCTCCGGGGAGAGCTCAAATCAGGCTTTTGTCAGCGGAGGATAAGCGACACCATTTTAGGAAGGGTTGTTGTTCAGGGAGCTCTGTTGGACGGTTTTGTGCAAGCTTTATCCACCCCCTCCCATGACTCGTGCCATGGTTCCCCTGGCCCCATGCTGGGCTGTGGGCGGGCTGATGCTTCCTCTCTGATCGGTGCCCACAGCCAGCCCTGAGAGGGGTGGCATCACCGTGGGGAGCCGGCAATCCCTAGCCCTTCAGGAAAAATGAGGTTTCACAGAACCAAATCCTGCTTGAATTGTGCTGTACGAATCCTGTGAGGGCCCGAGCTCTTAGCTTAGAGCAAATTTTGCAGTTAATTGTGTGTCAAAATAACGTATTAGAAACAGCAGCGTCTGGACCGTGTGCAATTCCTCTCCTTTCAAGCCTTTGTCTGCCCAGGGCTGGAGGGGCTTGTCAGGGCATCTTTGAGACAGGCTGGTGGCCCCCGTCAAAAGCAGCCCAAGGATTTCGGTGACTATCCCAGAGCCTTGGACAAGATAAAAGACCAGTGGTGGCCTTGAAGAATGCCCGGCTCTGTCCGCAGTGCTGGGCGGGGCCGGTGATCTTCATTACCAGTAGCTGCGGCACAGAGGCGGGCAGTTTGGTATGCCAGGCACATCCAGCGCCTCATGCATCCAGGGACCGCAATCAGGTAGCTGATGGGGATGCAAGTCACATCGCCTGGACCATTGCCGCAGTGAACTGATTCATGCTGCTACTTTGAGGCGGGGAGAAGGGACAGCGGGGCCCTGAGACAAACCAGCCCGGCTTTATTACACAGCTGCTGTTTTCAAGCCAGAATATTCCAGCCTCTCCTGCTCCTTCTCTTGCTGCTGGGCCTGCACTGGCTGCCTACCTGCAAAGAAAGTGCTCGTTCTGGCCCCTGGCTCTGGCTGAACAATGGCATTATGTGATGCATAAAGAGTACCCGGGCAACGGAGACAAGCATGGCTTAATTCGCTCAGTGCCCAGTGGCTTTTGAACGCCCCTGTATTCAGCCTTTATCCTGAGCAGCCTGGGCCTCCCCGGCCTTTATTCCCCAGCCCTCCCCATCACAGTCTTCCTCCAGTTTCCACACAGGTCTGCAATGGAGCTGATGGCCATGAAATGAGAGGCACAAAGGAAGGGAAGACAGGACGCTCTGTCTCTAACCAGGAAAGACTCCTGCTTGTGGGTAAGGACAACCAGGTTTTGGTCTCAGTTTTGCCATCAACTCACGGAGTGGCCTTGGGAAAGTCCCTTTCTGGCCCTTGGCTCCAGGTCTGTGTTTGCAGATAGGAGAGATAGGGACAAAGTTCCAGAAAGGCTTTTCCAACTCTGACATTCTATCATTCGGATACACACAGCTTAGCTCGATGGCATTGTTCTGGCCTCACATATGATGGTGAAGGGTCCTCCACTGTATCAGTGACATTCTCCTTGACTGTGACCTAAGACCAGGCCATGAGTCAGGACAATAAGTGAATGACACAAGCCAAGTGATTTCCGAGGCACGGTGGGGTCACCTGCCCTGCCTGGAGCAGCAGCCACTGCCTACAAGGCAAACTGTCCAGCTTACAGTTGCCTTGTAGGAATAAGAAGCCCAGTCTTGTGAGGTCTTCCCATTTTTTAAAAGAAACCAGAAATGTGAAATGTTATACAAAGTCTCACAATTGTAAAATGTTAGCTCAATTTTTATCAACACTGATAGGTCAAACAAAAATGACCAGAGGACCTTATCTGCTCAGCAGGCTACCAGATTGTGAAGTCAGGACCGGACAAGGTGTATCAGTCCATTCTCACATTGCTATAAGGAACTACCTGAGCCGGGATAATTTATAAAGAAAAGAGGTTTAATGCCTTGTAGCTCCATGGGCTGTACAGGAAGCATGGCTGGGGAGGCCTCAGGAAACGTACAGTCACAGTGGAAGGTGAAGGGGAAGCAGGCATGTGCTGCATGGCTGGATCAGGAGGAAGAGAGGAGGGGAATGTGCCACATGCTTTTAAAGAAACGGATCTTGGGAGAACTCTATCACAAGACAGCACTAGGGGGATGGTACTAAACCATTAGAAACCACCCACATGATCTAATCACCTCCCACCAGGCCTCATCTCCAACAATGGGGACTACAATTCAACATGAGATTTGAGCAAGGGCATAGATCCAAATTGTATCACAGGGCTACTATGTAGCTCAAGTCCAGGAGCTCTGCCATAACACCCTAGTATTATGCAATGTGGGACTCCCAGGACTGCACAAATTAGACTGGGTAAAGATACCCCTATTTGTTTTATTTTAAGGAAAAAGAAAAGAAACCAAAACTGGACCTAATACCTTTAGATCGCCTGCCATCTAATATCCGGGTTAACTCCAGACTGGGCCCCTTTCCAGAGGCAATGGAAATGCTCCAGCAGGATCTCACTTCCTCACTGCCCCATCACCCAACCCGGTGGGGACAGATGATGCCCCAGATTCCCAGCAGCCCCACCCCTGCATGGCTGAGGAAATGCTTCCACCACCTGAGCTTCTACCTGCCCATCCAGACTGGCTCTCTGCCCTTAGGCCCTCAGTCTCCGCATCCTGCCTTCCTGGTCTCCCAGTAGGAGACCTCTGCAGGTACTGTCACCTGGAGAACCCAGAATCTGGAAGGGACCACAGGGGGACTCCAAGCAGAGCTCTGCCCATGGAGCCCACACTGGCTGCCATGTCCCTTCAGCCCAGCTCACAGAAATACATCCTAAGGAAGAGATGCCACATCTACTATACACAGAGGTCTCTGAAGCCACACGTTCATATTGTTTCAACAAGCATTGAACAACTAATATTTGCTGGCACTGAGGAAAAATATTAGGTACAAGGAGCTCCTTGAAGGCAGGGAGAAAAGACAGACTCTCATACACAAGTTCAGTTAGATAACAAGCAGTGAGCAGGCAACTGGGACTAAATGCTACCATCTTCTGTATTGATAGAGGGATCACTGTATTATAGCACCACACTCGGATGTCAGAAACATCTTGGCCAGACACAGCATTAATACAGGAGGCATGAAGCTGACTCCCTACTCATCACTGCAATACAAAGTCAAAAAGCCTCTATAGCTCTCCCAGAACATGGATCAGATTGTTATGGGAGGTGAGAGAAGAACGATGTGATATTTAATCTGTTCTCTAAACATACACAAAGAGACAAGAGGTGAAAGGGCTTGGATGGTTCACTGAGGGAGTGGTCCCAAACTCCAGAGTAGTTCAGGCTGGGTGGAGCAGTGGGAACATAGAAGAAGAGAGTTGAAAATAAAGTGAGAAAGTTCAATTAGGACTTTCTCCAAATCACAATGGACCCCCGGGCAGACAGAAAAGTTCAAATTTTATTCTGTAAACCATAGGAAGCCATTGAATGTTCATTAAGGGGGGATTCCATCAGAACTGCGATTCAGAAGGAGCCTCCACTGGCTATGTGGAGAGCAGACTAGGAGCTAGAAGAGTGGCCAGGAGATGAAAGCAATGCACCAGGGAAGCGGATGATGGCCTGAACGAGGGCAGTGGTGATGGGATGCACAGGAGGTATATGTCAGAACTCATACAGAGAAAGAATCCAAACAGCTTGGTGGGTGGCTGAACATTCTGGGTAATGATCAAAGATGCCTGAAGTGTTGGGGAGGATGACAATGCCGCCTTCAGAAGGAGGAAGAACAGGTTTAAAAGGGAAGAAGATTTCAGACTCATGCCCTGGATGGATGATCAAAGACCAAGCAGCAACCTCAGGGCTTGTCTATGTGGGTTGGAGGGCCCTAGAAGAGCTTGTTGCACAGGAGGAGTGGTCTGGGGCCCAGGGATACTGGGCTGCAGAATCTCACATGGGCACCATGGAGGAACCAGCAGCCCAGAAACACTCCCCAAGGCCCTGTCTAGTGGCCCTGGGCCAAGCTGCGAGCTGCAGCCTCTGGGGCCTGTGAAGCCCTGAGTACCTCATGGGGACTGTAAATATTTGCCTGATTAAGAGCCCCAACCAGAGACTCAGCAACAGCTCCTCCATACGCAGTAATCGACACATCTTCCGTGGAGGGCTTAGAGAGGGGAAGCCATCTCAAGTGATGGCACTTCACACTCAGCACTTGACATTCCCAGGCACTCCACAGGCATTAGCTAATTAGTCCTTGAGTCTGTTTAGCCCCCAAAAGAACTCCCAGAGGTTCCATTCATGCCCCATGTGCAGGGAGTTTCACACCCTTCTGAGTCAGGATCCAGAGCATTGGGGAGACAGCTTTGCAGATAGCCACTCGCCCACTCACTCCCTTGCAGAGAAATCAAGTGTCTGCAAGGGAGCCGGAAAGAAGAAGTTTTCACTGTGTCATATTCTTCCTGGGAAAGAGATAGGAGACAGAGAAAGGGACAGGAGACCAGTATCTAC